>NC_000009.12:102462976-102614491 GCF_000001405.40 Homo sapiens | reverse complement strand
TTGAGAACATACAATGTTTGGTTTTCCATTCCTGAGTTACTTCACTTAGAATAATATTCTCCAGTTCCATCCAGGTTGCTGCAAATGCCATTAATTTGTTCCTTTGTATGGCTGAATAGTATTCCATCGTGTGTGTGTGTGTGTGTGTGTGTGTGTGTGTATGATGGAATACACACACACACACAAAATTTCTTTATCCACTCATTGATTGATGGACATTTGGGGCTGGTTCCATATTTTTGCAACTTGGAATTGTGTTGCTATTACATGCTGTGCCAGTATCTTTTTTTTTTTTTTTTTTTGGATAATGACATCTTTTCCTCTGGGTAGATACCCAGGAATGGAATTCCTGGATCAAATGGTAGTTCTACTTTGAGTTCTTTGGGGAATCTCCACACTGTTTTCCGTAGTGGTTATACTAGTTCACATCCCTACCAGCAGTATAGAAGTGTTCTCTTTTCGCTGCATCCACCTTAGGTAAATTTTTGAGACACTCTCAGAGTTTACAATCCACAAGTATTTGATTCCTCGTGAGTTCACTTTCTGAGCATTTGAGCTTTCTTGGTATAAGTACTAGGAAGAGGAGGGACATTTTGTAGATCTTAGAGTTAAGTGTAAGGTAAAACACTAAAAAAAATTATTTGTTGGATGACTTAACATCTCTTTACGTCACATGATGTCCTTCACTTTTCAGAAACTACTATCCTACTCACAAGACGACAACTGGATCCTTTGATTCTTTCACCAGAAAATGTCCCAATGCTTAGTCCTCTGGTTTGAGCAATGCCCTCAATTTCGGCTGGAATCATCAATTTTTGTCATTTCCCAAGCATGTAGCACAATGGAGTGGGTGAAAGATGTACTCTAGCCCAACATAAAACAGTAACATAGGATCTCAATTGTTGAAATATTAATCCTATCAGTAGAGGGATTTTAGCTAGTTTATTCTTACATCAAATGATGTAATTTTCAAAAATGATGTTTTTTTTATTTAAAAAAGACTCCTTTTCATTCTTCTATTTAATACTTCTCTTTTATTATGCTACATAATATTTAGTTTCTATTTTTTTCTATTTAGGGAACGGGAAACAAAAGGGCTACAATAATTTTTAATTAATTTAAATTTAGTTAAGTGATTTCAATTTAGTAAACTTTTTTTTTGGCCTTTGGAGAGCAGCTGGAAATTCTAGAAGTAGAGATAGACAATTCCTTTATCCATACTTTATTTTAATATTTCTTTACACATTTTTCTTTGTAACAGCATATTGTTAGATTTTGATTTTAGACCAAACTGAAGTTTATTATCTCTACTTTGCTTTTATCAAGTTATTACATATCTCTGTATGCTTCTTTGACAATCATTTGCTAATTCTTATTTTGTCAAAAAAGGTTTTTGGTCATTTTTATTCCACAGTAATTTTTAAACTACATTTCTCATTTTATTCCTGATCCCTCAGAAATTGTGTGAAATAATAAACAATTGTTGTTTTAAGATGTTAAGTTGTAAGGTAATTTTTTCTAGGGGAATATGCAAGCTTTATATAAATATGCAGATATACTGTACATACTTATTATTTAGTATAGGTCTATACTAAAAATTAATGTTATTCCAGTGAAAAAGAAAAATACCACCTCCCTGCATGTAAGTCTTGTACGTGGAATTTTTGCTGATATAATTAGTCATTTTTATCCAAATTATTATTTTTATAATTTATTTTTAAAATATTGATTAATATTTACATAGTTTTGTAGACATATTGGGGATTACTATTGAAACAATTATTCTGTTTTTTATCATATCTATTTTATGAATTTTTTAAAATTTTGATTATTTAAAAATTTGAATCATTGCCTTGGAGTTACTCATTATTTGATTAAAACCTCTTCCCTTTAAACTCTGTGTTTGTTTCTCCATTGCCTTGCCACATTTTTTGTGTCCCTCTCTCTTCCTCTGGGGTAATACTTTTAGGATTTATTTAGTAAATACCTAAAATTTCACAGGAATATATATTTGGTCAAGTTTCTATTTATTTGATTCTAATTACTTGAATAATTCTTCCCATAGGAAGTCTTGAATTTTACTTTAGCTCAAGAAAGTTATACCCTATCATTTCACTCTGTTAGATATTACAACATTCCCCGATAGAAGTGCTGTGTGCAGCACACGGAGCTTCTGCCCTGCAATCTCTGAGCTTGGGCTAACATCACATCTTAGGAGATCTGGACAGGCTTGATGGCTTCTCTCTTCTGGAAGCCCTACTGGAGGCAGTCAATATGATGCACCTTTTGCACCAGGTCTCTCACCCTGGATCATCATCCTTCCTGATGCTCAAAAGGATCCCTTGGGCTGCTGTGTGGTGCAGGAGGAAGCATCTCTCTACATTTTGGTCAACATCTGTCTGAACATCCTGATTGCTAACCCAAAGAAATTGTGTTTTGAAAAACCTGATGGAACATTGTACCTTCCAGAGCATTGGTTTCCCTCGGGCTGATGAAGTCCTTATGGTGACGGCTTGGCAAATATTCTTGTGGATGTTTCATTTGACAGTTTCAATGCTGCCAAGTTTGTTATGAGATGATTCTGTAAATATGAAAACTCCAAGAAAACCGAGGCAGTGAGCATCCAGCTCTATCCTAGCCTTGCAATTCTCACTTGCACAAACTGCACAACTTGAAGAAGAGCTATTTGTGGCAATTGAGGAACTTTTAGCAATAGTAAAACAAAAGGCTACTGAGAATTTAGAGAATGGTACCATCTTGTGTAGTTTAAAAGTACTTAACATCTTACAGATGAGTCTCCAGCTTCCTGCAAGCACTTTACTGAAAATCAAGTAATTGGCAATCCTTGTGTAAGTCTGGGAGAATAATCTCACTGAAGTCAGAAAACTTTCTTTCAAAGTGGCCACTAAAGATGTGGTATAGCCTATCAGCATTCTGTTCCATAGCAAAGAAAGAGAAGTCAGTTATGTTGTTGCAGATGTCATAACCCACCTGACATCTGGCAAACAGCCTAAATATCCCATAACTTGCAAAGATTTTTTCCTCTCCAGGAGCTTCATGCAACCATACCAAATTGGCCAAGTTCAAGGTGTAAGATGGCAGCGTTAGTGACCTACAGATCCTTCAAGGTATTTTTTCCCACTCCTTGATAAATTTTCTGAACCAATGATTTGACACTGGTCATGATGGGCTATGTATCGTATCTGCAGTAAAAACTTCAGCAAATACTGCAAAATGTTATTTGAAGAAAGATTACGGCTTGTTATGTGACATCCAGGAACACAGTGAAGCAAACGCCCAAATGCAGCAGATTGCAACCTCCATTCTAGATGACATCAGAATATATTTCATGAAGTATTAGAGACTCCTTCTCTGTCAAATACCTTTTTTAGCCTAAAGGGCTTCAGAGGTGCTACTTGTCTCTCAGCTTCAGATTTTCTGCCCTGTCAGCCACTGAATGTTGAAAACAGTTGTCATTGGAGTTTGCGAACTGGGTGCCTCATTGGAATTTTTTTGTTATTGTTGACTTTATAATTACCATAATCCCAACTTAAGTTGGAATAATTTTGAGAACACCCTTTTGGCAAATAATTTTGAAAAATCAGACTCTGGACTCTGTGGAAAGACTTGGGGGCTTGTATTGGAACAGCTATTCCACTTATTTTTCTCTAGCCCTGGACAATTTCTTCACTCTGGGAGTTTGTTGGCAGAAAGAGATCTGTTTACCCAGAGAAGGAAAGAAAGAGCCTGTGAGAGATTTTGGTATTATGTTTAACTTCATATCAATATTTAAGAGATTCTGCTGAGTTGTTGTTTCTGGTCATGTGAAGCCAGTGGGAAAAAAGTACATTAAAAATATCAGAGAAATATATGCTTATAAATGTGTTGGTTGGAAGGCAGGATCTCTATTTGAGTGGGATAAAAGGAAAAATGCTAATACTACAGTACCTTTCACTTGAGGGGTGCAGGGAAGGGAAATATATTTCACAATTTCAAGTATTCTGTATTTGGCCTTTTCCCTCCAAATTCACAAATTACATTGAAAAAGAATAACATTCTGTGTATGTGAACGTGCTGGTTGATCATGGTGATATTTAGGACCAAGAATAGAGGGTTTAGATAAATGAAGATTATAAATAGCAATCTCTCAACATTTTAATTTAGGTGGATCTGTGACCAAAGTTTGGAGGAAGTAGAAGGACCAGAAAAGAAAAAAGAATTTGCCAAAGATTTCGAGAAATGTTCTTACCTAGCATAGAGAAAAAAAATAAAATGGGCTTTTCTAAGAACCAACCTCAACTACATTAAAAATTGTTTCGTTTGTGTCATCTGCAAAGCTCTCCTGTGGAATGGAGCACGAATTCCTTTCTTGCCTTATTATTGAAAACTAATGAGACATGTTTTATCATTCATGTGTTTAAATTTGATTCTCAAAGAACAAAAGTGAATTTCTATCTGATTAGTAGCATATTTAAAAACAAATAATCAAAAAATGTTCCCCATAAATTAGTTTATTCTCATAACCATTGACTGTGTTATGACTTTTTAATTAAAATCTACTTTTGGTGATGAAAAATGATAGTTTGCATGGCTTTCAATCACATAACTAATTTAATGACATAGCTAGACTTCAAAAGCCAGCTTTACTAAATGATTTTCCTTGGTTGTTTTCATTATCATAGAGGTAGCTAGAATTCAATGGTATTATCTCTGTCTCCTAGCAATTGCATATATAACAATCTTAAGTTCCTGGACTTCATTCAAATGGGACAGCATTAGGGAAGAAGCTGAATTTAAGGCAATCAACCAGAAAACGGAGGCTCAGTACTTGAGGGTAATAGAGCCTGAAGCAACTCTCTTAGTCTTTACCAAGCAGCCATAGGCAGTTTTTCTCGGGAAATTTAAATTAAGCCATGTGTGGGAAGGAAGTTGCTAAAGAAGCAGTTCCAGCTTGATCAACCCTCTAAGACTATGCCCTTGCTAGTTTTGCAGCAGTATATTTCCCAGGATGCATGACAAGGGACTCTAAGACAATGCTGTGTAATCACGAGGTTTTAGAAAACATATCTTGTCACTGACTCCAACACTTGTTCATAAATTTTTTTCATATTGATTAACTAAGTGGATTCATCTTACTGAATCTGATACAAATATTGTGAAAAGCTTCTGGAAGTTTTCTACAAGAGAAGTTTGAAGTCATCTTAACTCCTGGGGGAAAAGAAACAGTACAGGAAAACCGCAATCTGGAGAGGGGCGCAAAAGGAGCCTGGTGCTTGCAGTTCTGGGAATGTCTTGCCATCTACACGATCTGTAATCAAACAAAACACTTCTGGTGATCAGGACTCAGACACTAGGAGTTTAAGTTTTGGAGTATCACCCTGAAATGCAATGGAGGCACAGGGTCATATTGCGTCTCTAGAGGCTAGGACTTCCTTTGAGGGGATAATGGAACTAATCCTGGGGCCGCTGTGCTAAAGTGGCTATTACTCCTCCTGAACTCAAAGGCCAGTAAACGTTTTAGTATATATCCCTATAAAATGTAATGTAATAATCACAGTATCCAAACCTAGACGAGAAACGTAGAGACAGGAGCATGGAATAAGATAAAAAAACTAAAGATCAGAGAACTTGAGATAGTTCCTTAGCTCCTAGGGTACACAGATACGTTGTAATAGTATTACATTTAAAATAGCTGAAGTATTATAATCTTCAGATAATGGTATCAATTTTAAAATAGACTTTTACTGTTGTTTTCTTAAAATTGCTGTTTCCTTATATGTAGACCAAGTACATCAAGAAAAACTTTTTGGCAGTTTTTGAGATATACATATATCTCTTGCAATGAGATACAAAATTGGTTTTAATTATAAAGTTTAAAATACTAAATGTCTGTTAGTTGTAAATTTATTTATACATATAACTAAGACACATAATGTATAATGTGTTACTTATAATGATTAAAATGAGAAATTAAATAGGTTAACATCTTTGGTTGTATTGCTTTGAAGTGTTTAGGCAAAAATAAATTGGTCTAAAATGTAAATATTTGATCTATTAAATACCAGTATTCTGATTTAAGGAAAAATATTGATTCATAGAAATTACTATTGGTGTCCTGAAATTTTATGATATAGAATCATAAGTTGAGTAAAGAAGGAAAAGGAAACTTAGAAATCTTGAAACTGCTAGAGCCTTAGTTAAAAAGAACATATGGTTAGAATTTAAATAAATAAGCAACAAATAATTTTGTGCATAACACTCTTTAAAGATTTCAAATTTAAAAAATAATGATTTTCATTATGTTCAAAAATGACCTGCCAAATATGGCAGAAAAGAAAAAATTTCCTTTTTTTTTTTTAACTTTTATTTTAAGTTTAGGAGTACAAGTGCAGGTTTGTTACATAGGTAAATTTGCATCATGGAGTTATGTTGTATAGATTATTTCATCACCCAGGGCGATGGTTAATGAGTGTCAACTTTATTGGATTGAATGATACAAATTATTAATCCCGGATATGTCTGTGTGGATGTTGCCAAAAGAGATTGACATTTGAGTCAGTGGGCTGGGGGAAGGAAGACCCACCCTTAATCTTGTGGACACAATCTAATTAGCTTCCAGTGAATATAAATAAAGCAGGTGGCTGGAGCAGTGGCTGACGCCTGTAATCCCAACACTGGGAGGCCGAGGGGGGCAGATCACGATGTCAGGAGATCAAGACCATCCTGGCTAACATGGTGAAACCCTGTCTCTACTAAAACTACAAAAAATTAGTCAGGTGTGGTGGCATACGCCTCTAGTCCCAGCTGCTTGGGAGGCTGAGGCAGGAGAATCGCTTGAACCTGGGAGGCAGAGGTTGCAGTGATCCGAGATCAGGAGGCCACTGCACTCCAGCCTGGGCGACAGAGTGAGACCCCATCTCAAAAATAAATAAATAAATAAATAAATAAATAAATAAATAAATAAATATAAAAATAAAAATAAAACAGGCAGAAAAATGTGAAAAGGAGAGATGGGCCTCCCTCCCTACCTACATCTTTCTCCCACACTGGATGCTTCTTGCCCTCGAACATCAGACTCCAAGTTCTTGTTTTGGGACTCGAACTGGCTCTCCTTGCTCCTCAGCTTGCCAGTAGCCTACTGTGGGACCTTGTGATGATGTATGTTACTACCTAAGCAATTCCCCTATATATATATCTAGCTTATCTATATAAAACTTTAAAATAATAAGCTTTGTGATCAAACGTGTGTGTGTGTGTGTGTGTGTGTGTGTGTGTATGTGTATGAGTCAGGATTCTCTTAGAACTAATAGTTCTATCCATCTATACTATTAGTTCTGTCTGTCTAAGAGAACCCTGACTCATACACCCTGGTATTAAGCCTAGTACTTGTTAGTTATTTTTTCTGATCCTCTCCCTCCTCCCACCCTTGACCTTCTAAAAGGTCCCAGTATGTATTATTCCCCTCTATGTGTCCAAGTGTTCTCATTATTATCTCCCACTAATAGGTGAAAACATGTGGTATTTGGTTTTTTGTTCCTATGGTAGTTTGCTAAGGATAATGGCCTCCAGTTCCAACTGTGTCCTTTGAAAGTACATAATCTTGTTCTTTTTATGGCTGCATATATTCTACAGTGTGTATGTATGACATTTTCTCTATCCAGTCTATCATTGATGGGCATTTAGGTTGATTCCATGTCTTTGCTCTTGTGAATGGTGCTGCAATGAATGTACACATACATGTGTCTTTATAATTGAATGATTTATATTCCTTTGGGTATACACCCAGTAATGCAATTGCTGGGCTGAATGGTATTTCTGTCTTTAGGTCTTAGAGGAATTGCCACACTGTCTTCCACATGGCTGAACTAATTTACACTCCAACCAGCAGTGTATAAACATTCCTTTTTCTCCACAACCTCTCCAGCATCTGTTATTTTTTTACTTTTTATTTGAGACGGAGTTTTTTGTTCTTGTTGCCCAGGCTGGAGTGCAATGGCACAATCTTGGCTCATTGCAACCTCTGCCTCCTGGATTCAAGCAATTCTCCTGCCTCAGCTTCCCAAGTAGCTGGGATTACAGACATGTGCCACCATGCCTGGCTAATTTTGTATTTTTAGTGCAGATGGGGTTTCACTGTGTTGACCAGGTTGGTCTCAAACTCCTGACCTCAAGTGATCCACCTGCCTTGGCCTCCCAAAGTGCTAAGACTACAGGTGTGAGCCACCACACCTGGCCATTTTTTGATGTTTTAATAGTAGCCATTCTAACTGATGTGGGATAGTATCTCATTGTGATTTTAATTTGCATTTCTCTAGTGACATTGAGCTTTTTTTAATATGACTGTTGGCCACATGTATGCCTTTTGTAAAAAGGTGTTTGTTTTATGTCCTTTGCAGACTTTTTAAAGGGATTGTTCATTTTTTTCTTGTAAATTTGTTTAAGTTTCTTCTATATGCTGAATATTACACATTTTTTAGATTCATAGTTTGAAAAAATTTTCTCCTATTCTGCAAGTTATCTGTTTACTTTGTTGATAGTTTTTTTTTTTTTCTGTGCAGAAGCCCTTATCCCATTTGTTGATTTTTGCTTTTGTTGCCATTGCTTTTGGTGTCTTCAGGATGAAATATTTGCTTGTCCCTATGTCCTGAATGGTATGGTCTAGGTTGTCTTCCAGGGTATTTGTAGTTTTGAGCTTTAAATTGAAGTCTTTAATCTATCTTGAGTTAATTTTTGTATATTGTGTAAGGAAGGAGTCCAGACTTAATCTTCTGCATGTGACCAGCCAGTTTTCCCAGCACAATTTATTGAATAGACTGTTCTTTCCTCACTGCTTGTTTTTGTCAGGATTGTTGAAGATCAGATTGTTGTAGGTGCTCAGTCTTACTTCTGGGTACTCTATTCTGTTCCATTGGTCTATGTGTGTGTTTTTGTACCAGTAGCATGTTGTTTTGGTTACTGTAGCCCTGTAGTATAGTTTGAAATTGGGTACTGTGCTGCCTCTAGCTTTGAACTTTTTGCTTAGAATTGCCTTGGCTGTTACAGCTGCTTTTTGATTCCATATGAATTTTAAAATAGTTTTTCTTCTAGTTCTGTGAAGAATGTAAATGGTAGTTTACTAAGAATGGCACTGAATCTGTAAATTGCTTTGAGCAGTATGGCCATTTTCATGATATTGATTATTCCTATCCATGAGCATGGAATGTTTTTTTCATTTGTGTGAGTCATTTCTGATTTCTTTGAGCAGTGGTTTATAGTTTTCCTGGTAGAGATATTTCATCTCCCTAGTAAGCTGTATTAATAGGTATTTTATTCTTTTTATGGAAACTGTGAATGGGAGTTCATTTGTGATTTAGCTCTCAGCTTAACTGTTCTTGGTGTGTAGAAATGCTAGTGATTTTTGCACATTGATTTTGTATACTGAGACTTTGGTGAAGTTGTTTATTAATTTTAGAAGCTTTTGGCCAGGCACAGTGGCTCACACTTGTAATCTGAGCAATTTTGAGGGCCAACGTGTGGATCACTTTAGGTCAGGAGTTCAACACCAGCCTGGCCAACATGGTAAAACCCCATGTCTACTAAAAATAGAAAAAGTAGCCAGCCATGATGGTACATGCCTGTAATCCCAGCTACTCAGGAGGCTGAGGCACAAGAATCACTTGAACCCAGGAGGCAGAAGTTACAGTGAGCAGAGATCACACCACTGCACTCCAGTTTGGGTGACAAAGTGAGACTGTGTCTCAAAGAAAATAAATAAATAAAAAGAGAAGCTTTTTAGCTGAGATGACAGAGTTAAATTCTACAAGCCAGAGGAGATTGGGGATCAACATTAAATATTCTTAAAGAAAATAATTTCCAACCCAGAATTTAATATCCAGCCAAACTAAGCTTTATAAGCAAAGGAGAAATAAGATCCTTTTCAGATAAGCAAATGCTGTGAGAATTTGTTACTACTAGACATGCCTTACAAGATATCCTGAAGGACGCATTAAATATGGAAAAGAAAGACTGTTACCAATCACTACAAAGACACACCGAAGAACAAGATCAGTGACACTACGAAGTAACCACATAAACAAGCCTGCAAAATATCCAGCTACCGTAATGACAACAGGACCAAATCCACAGATATCAATATTAATGTTAAGTATAAATGGGCTCTCCCTCTCCCTCTCCCCGTCGTCTCCATCTCCCACTTTCCACGGTCTCCCCCTCTCCCTCATCTCTGTCTCCCGCTTTCCACGGTCTCCCTCTGTTGCCGAGGCTGGACTGTGCTGCTGCGATCTCGGCTCACTGCAACCTCCCTGCCTGATTCTCCTGCCTCGGCCTGCCGAGCGCCTGGGATTGCAGGCGCGCTCCGCCACGCCTGACTAGTTTTTGTATTTTTTGGTGGAGACGGGGTTTCGCTGTGTTGGCCGGGCTGGTCTCCAGCTCCTGACCTCAAGTGATCTGCCCACCTCAGCCTCCCGAGGTGCCAGGAGTGCAGACGGAGTCTCGCTCACTCAGTGCTCAATGTTGCCCAGGCGGGAGTGCAGTGGCATGATCTCGGCTCGCTGCAACCCCCACCTCCCAGCTGCCTGCCTTGGCCTCCCAAAGTGCTGAGATTGCAGCCTCTGCCTGGCCGCCACCCCATCTAGGAAGTGAGGAGCATCTCTGCCCGGCCGCCCATCATCTGGGATGTGAGGAGCCCCTCTGCCCAACCGCCCAGTCTGGGAAGTGAGGAGTATCTCTGCCTGGCCACCCATCATCTGGGATGTGAGGAGCCCCTCTACCTGGCTGCCCAGTCTGGGAAGTGAGGAGCACCTCTTCCCAGCCGTCATCCTGTCTAGGAAGTGAGGAGCATCTCTGCCTGGCCGCCCATCATCTGGTATGTGGGGACCGCCTCTGCCCAGCCATCCCGTCTGGGATGTGAGGAGTGCCTCTGCCCGGCCGCCCCATCTGGGAGGTGAGGAGCGTCTCTGCCCAGCTGCCACCCCGTCTGGGAGGTGAGGATCGCCTCTGCCCGGCCGCCACCCCGTCTGGGAAGTGAGGAGCGCCTCCACCTGGCTGTGACCCTGTCTGGGAACTGAGGAGCACCTCTGCCCAGCCGCCCCGTCTGGGAAGTGAGGAGCACCTCCACCCGGCAGCCACCCCGTCTGGGAGGTGAGGGGCGCCCCCGCCCAGCAGCCAACCCGTCTGGGAGGTGGGGGGTGCCCCTGCCCAGCAGCCACCCCGTCTGGGAGGTGGGGGGCCCCTCTGCCCGGCCGCCACGTCTGGGAAGTGAAGAGCCCCTCTGCCGGGCCGCCACCTCGTCTGGGAGGTGTACCCAACAGCTCATTGAGAACGGGCCATGACGAGGATGGCAGTTTTGTCGAAGAGAAAAGGGGGAAATGTGGGGAAAAGAAAGAGAGATCAGATTGTTACTGTGTCTGTGTAGAAAGAAGTAGACATAGGAGACTCCATTTTGTTCTGTACTACAAAAAATTATTCTGCCTTGGGATGCTGTTAATCTATAACCTTACCCCCAACCCCGTGCTCTCTGAAACATGTGCTGTGTCAACTCAGGGTTAAATGGATTAAGGGCGGTGCAAGATGTGCTTTGTTAAACAGATGCTTGAAGGCAGCATGCTCGTTAAGAGTCATCACCACTCCCTAATCTCAAGTACCCAGGGACACAAACACTGCCGAAGGCCACAGGGTCCTCTGCCTAGGAAAACCAGAGACCTTTGTTCACATGTTTATCTGCTGACCTTCTCTCCACTATTGTCCTATGACCCTGCCAAGTCCCCCTCTCCGAGAAACACCCAAGAATGATCAATAAATAAAAAAATTAAAAATAAATAAATAAATGGGCTAAATGCCCCAATTAAAAGACATAGAATCGCAAGCTGGATAAAGAATCAAAACCCATTGGTATGCCGCCTTCAAGAGACCCATCTCATGTGCAATGACACATATAGCTTAAAATAAAGGGATGGAGGAAAATCTCCCACGCAAATAGAAAACAGAAAAAAGCAGGGGTTGCAATTTTAGTTTCTGACTAAACAGAGTTTAAACCAACAAAGATAAAAAATGACAAAGAAGGGCATTACATAATGGTAAAATGTTCAATTAAACAAGGAGATCTAACTATCCTAAATGTATTTGCACCCAAATTAGGAGGACCTTGATTCATAAAGCAAATTCCTGGAGATCTTTGAAGAGACTTAGACTCCCACACAATAATAGTGGGAGATGTAAATACTCCACTTACAATAGTAAGTTTTAAAATAATTGTTTCCCCTTAGGCTGTTTACTGCCATTTGGTTAAACCCTATTTCCTACAGTCATAGTTTTTCATAGTTTCAAATTACTTTGTGAGTTGTCACCAAGTCACTAGATGATAAATCTCAAGTCACACTTATACTAATGAGCAAAAAATATTTAGCTTTTAATTTGTTTTACTCTTTCCTCACTAGAATACTTCAATTCCAAGTGAATTGAAATTGGGATTGGAAACCGTCTTCAATTTGTAGGCTAAAAGTAAGTCAAAGTGGTTTTTCTAAAATTTATGTCCCTGCTTCTCTCCTTACCTAATTCAAGAATATGTAAGAAAAAATAATTTTAGTACAATTCTTCCAAAGTTCATGTCTGTATTGCTAGAATACCCCTAGTTTGACACATAGAAATGGGCATATTTTGCTAATTTAATGTTGGACTTTAAAAATATCTAAATTCACTAATAAAGGTAGGAGGTAGCTTTTGTTTTCAACTCTAACTTTACAATAATAAGCTTGATAAATGCTGGTTTCATTTTTGGAAAAATTTACATTGTTCCCTATGATCTATACTAAACAAGAACTTTTTATTACATGTTCAATTAAGTTAATTCTTTAAGATTTATGGACATGACACCGTTTTGGTTAGTAATCCTTAGCAAAATTATGTAACTGTGATTATTTCATTGACATCTGGCTCTTATTTCATTTTAGTTTTTCCCAAGTATCTGTTTTTGAACTGTAATTTTGGTTGGCATTATTATAGGTGACTGATGTGTTATTTTCAAATTACATATGTTGTATTTCAAATTAGATTAGACAATTCTATTTCAATAATATTTAATATTTATCATCCATTATTTTATTATAGACCTTTCTGATCAATTTTTATAATTTACATTTTATTTTATTTGATTAGAGTATATATTAGAGAACCCCACATATCAACAACCTCCCTAACAATGAGAAGATACATTGCATAATTTATTCTTTTCAAAAAGGTATATTATTTATGTATTTTTGTTACCTTTTGCATTATTAAAATTATATATAATTTTATATAAATTAATATATAAATGTATCAATAAGTATATATTTATCATAAACAATAAATACATTTCTTTGTGTATTGAACAATGCATAAGCAATTTATATTGAACTACACACATACATACATTACCTTGGACTCCCTACAACCAACATCTTATTTTTTGCATACATCAAGAGATAATCTTTTCCATGCTTCTACTGATGATAGAGGTTTTATGATATTAAGAAACACTTTTCGGAGGTTCCAAGATGGCCAAATAGGAACAGCTCCAGTCTGCAGCTCCCAGCATGAGCGATGCAGAAAATGGGTGATTTCTGCATTTCCAGCTGAGGTACAAGGTTCACCTCACTGGGGCTTGTCCAAGAGCGGGTGCAGCCCACAGAACAGGGCGGGGCATTGCCTCACCCAGGAAGCACAAGGGGTCAGGGAATTCCCTTTCCTAGAAAAGGGAAGCCATGACAGACGGTACCTGGAAAATCGGGACACTCCCACCCTAATTCTGCCTTATTCCAACAGCCTTAGCAAATGGCACACCAGGAGATTATATCCCATGTCTAGCTTGGAGGGTCCCACACCCACAGAGCCTCACTCACTGCTAGCACAGCAGTCTGAGATCAAACTGCAAGGTGGCAGCGAGGCTGCGGGAGGGGCGTCCACCATTGTTGAGTCTTGAGTAGGTAAAGTGGCCAGGAAGCTCGAACTGGGTGGAGCCCACTGCAGCTCAAGGAGGCCTGCCTGCCTTTGTAGACTCCACCTCTCGGGGGCAGGGCATAGCTGAACAAAAGGCAGCAGAAACTTATGCAGACTTAAACGTCCCTATCTGACAGCTTTGAAGAGAGTAATGGTTCTCCCAGCATGGAGTTTGAGATCTGAGAACGGACCAACTGCCTCCTCAAGTGGGACCCTGACCCCCGAGTAGCCTAATTGGGGGACACCTCCCAGTAGGGGCTGACTGACACCTCATACAGCCAGGTGCCCCTCTGAGACGAAGCTTCCAGAGGAAGGATTAAGCAGCAACATTTGCTGTTCTGCAATATTTGCTGTTCTGCAGCCTCCGCTGGTGATACCTAGACAAACAGTGTCTGGAGTGGACCTCCAGCAAACTCCAACAGACTTACAGCTGAGGGTCCTGACAGTTAGAAGGAAAACTAACAAACAGAAAGGACATCCACACCAAAACCCCATCTATACGTCACCATCATCAAAGACCAAATGTAGATAAAACCACAAAGATGGGGAGAAACCAGAGCCAAAAAGCTGAAAATTCTAAAAATCAGAGCGCCTCTTCTCCTCCAAAGGAATGCAGCCCTTGCCAGCCATGGAACAAAGCTGGATGGAGAATGGCTTTGACGAGTTGAGAGAAGAAGGCTTCAGACGATCAGTAATCACAAACTTCTCCAAGCTAAAGGAGGATGTTCCAACCCATCACAAAGAAGCTAAAAACCTTGAAAAAAGACGAATGGCTAACTAGTATAAACAGTGTAGAGAAGTCATTAAATGACCTGATGAAGCTGAAAACCATGGTGTGAACTACGTGACACATGCACAAGCTTCAGTAGCCGATTTGATCAAGTGGAAGAAAGGGTATCAGTCATTGAAGATCAAATTAATGAAATGAAGTGAGAAGTTTAGAGAAAAAAGAGTAAAAGGAAATGAACAAAGCCTCCAAGAAATAAGGGACTATATAAAAAGACTAAATCTATGTCTGATTGGTGTACCTAAAAGTGGCAGGGAGAATGGAACCAAGTTGGAAAACACTCTGCAGGATATTATCCAGGAGAACTTCCCCAACCTAGGGAGGCAGGCCAACATTCAAATTCAGGAAATACAGAGAACACCACGAAGATACTCCTTGAGAAGAGAAACTCCAAGACCTATAATTGTCAGATTCACTAAAGTTGAAATGAAGGAAAAAATGTTAAGGGAAGCCAGAGAGAAAGGTTGGGTTACCCACAAAGGAAAGCCCATCAGACTAACAGCTGATCTCTTGGCAGAAACTCTACAAGCCAGAAGAGAGTGGGGGCAAATATTCAACATTCTTGAAGAAAAGAATTTTCAACCGATAATTTCATATCCACCCAAACTAAGCTTCATAAGTGGAGGAGAAATAAAATTCTTTGCAGACAAACAAATGCTGAGAGATTTTGTCACTACCAGGCCTGCCTTACAAGAGCTCCTGAAGGAAGCAATAAACATGGAAAGGAACAACCAATACCAGCCACTGCAAAAACATGCCTAATTGTAAAGACCATCAATGCCAGGAAGAAACGAGCAAAATAACCAGCTGAAATCATAATGACAGGATCAAATTCACACATAACAATATTAACCTTAAATGTAAATGGGCGAAGTGCTCCAATTAAAAGACACAGACTGGCAAATTGGATAAAGAGTCAAGGTCCATCAGTGTGCTGTATTCAGGAGACCCATCTCACATGCAGAGGCACACATAGACTCAAAATAAAGGGATGGAGGAAGATCTAGCAAGCAAATGGAAAACAAACAAAAAAGCAGAGGTTGGAATCCTAGTCTCTGATAAAAAACAGATTTTAAACCAACAAAGATCAAAAGAGACAAAGAAGGCCATTACATAATGGTAAAGGGATCAATTCAACAAGAAGAGATAACTATTCTAAATATATATGCACCCAATACAGGAGCACCCAGATTCATAAAGCAAGTCCTTAGAGACCTATAAAGAGACTTAGACTCTCACACAATAATAATGGGAGACTTTAACACCCCACTGTCAACATTAGACAGATCAACGAGACAGAAAGTTAACAAGGATATCCAGGAATTGAACTCAGCTCTGCACCAAGTGGACCTAATAGACAGCTACAGAACTCTCCACCCCAAATCAACAGAATATACATTCTTCTCATCACTGCATCACACTTATTCCAAAATTAACCACAAAGTTGGAAGGAAAGCACTCCTCAGCAAATGTAAAAGAACAGAAATTATAACAAACTATCTCTCAGACCACAGTGCAATCAAACTAGAACTCAGGATTAAGAAACTCACTCAAAACCACTCAACTACATGGAAACTGAACAATCTGCTCCTGAATGACTACTGGGTACGTAACGAAATGAAGGCAGAAATAAAGATGTTCTTTGAAACCAATGAGAACAAAGACACAACATACCAGAATCTCTGGGACACATTTAAAGCAGTGTGTAGAGGGAAATTTACAGCACTAAATTCCCACAAGAGAAAGCAGGAAAGATCTAAAACTGACACCCTAACATCACAATTAAAAGAACTAGAGAAGCAAGGGCAAACACATTCAAAAGCTTGCAGAAGGCAAGAAATAACTAAGATCAGAGCAGAACTGAAGGAGATAGAGACACAAAAAAACCCTTTAAAAAATCAATGAATCCAGGAGCTGGTTTCTTGAAAAGACCAACAAAATTGATAGATGGCTAGCAAGACTAATAAAGAAGAAAAGAGAGAAGAATCAAATAGTCACAACAAAAAATGATAAAGGGGGTATCACCACCAATCCCACAGAAATACAAACTACCATCAGAAAATAGTATAAACACCTCTATGCAAATAAACTGCAAAATATAGAAGAAATGGATGAATTCCTGACACATACACCTTCCCAAGACTAAACCAGGAAGAAGTTGAATCCCTGAATAGACCAATAACAGGTTCTGAAATTGAGGCAATAATTAATAGCTTACGAACCAAAAAAAGTCCAGGACCAGATGGATTCACAGCCGAATTCTACCAGAGGTACAAAGAGGAGCTGGTACCATTCTTTCTGAAACTATTCCAACCAATAGAAAAAAAGGGAATCCTCCCTAATTCATTTTATGAGGCCAGCATCATCCTGATACCAAAGCCTGGCAGAGACACAAGAAAGAAAGAGAATTTTAGACCAATATCCCTGATGAACATCGACGCAAAAATCCTCAATAAAATACTGGCAAACCGAATCCAGCAGCACATCAAAAAGCTTATCCACCACAATCAAGTTGGCATCATGCCTGGGATGCAAGGCTGGTTTCAACATATGCAAATCAATAAACGTAATCCGGCATATAAACAGAACCAACGACAAAAACCACATGATTATCTCAATAGTTGCAGAAAAGGCCTTTGACAAAATTCAACAGCCCTTCATGTTAAAAACTCTCAATAAACTAGGTATTGATGGGAGGTATCTCAAAATAATAAGAGCTATTTAGGACAAACCCACAGCCAATATCATACTGAATGGGCAAATCTGGAAGCACTTCCTTTGAAAACTGGCACAAGACAGGGATGCCCTCTCTCACCACTCCTATTCAACATAGTGTTGGAACTTCTGGCCAGGGCAATCAGGCAGGAGAAAGAAATAAAGGGTATTCAATTAGGAAAAGAGAAAGTCAAATTGTCCCTGTTTGCAGATGTCATGATTGTATATTTAGAAAACCCCATTGTCTCAGCCCAAAAGCTCCTTAAGCTGATGAGCAAGTTCAGCAAAGTCTCAGGATACAAAATCAATGTGCAAAAATCAAAAGCCTTATTATACACCAATAACAGACAAACAAGAGCCAAATCATGAGTGAACTCCCATTCACAATTGCTTCAAAGAGAATAAAATATCTAGGAATCCAACTTACAAGGGATGTGAAGGACCTCTTCAAGGAGAACTACAAACCACTGCTCAACAAAATAAAAGAGGACACAAACAAATGGAAGAAAATTCCATGCCCATGGATAGGAAGAATCAATATCTTGAAAATGGCCTACTGCCCAAGTTAATTTATAGATTCAATGCCATCCCCATCAAGCTACCAATGACTTTCTTCACAGAATTGGAAAAAACTACTTTAAAGTTCATATGGAACCAAAAAAGAGCCCACATTGCCAAGACAACCCTAAGCCAAAAGAACAAAACCGGAGACATCACGCTACCTGACTTCAAACTATACTACAAGCCTACAGTAACCAAAACTGCATGGTACTGGTACCAAAACAGAGTTATAGACCAATGGAACAGAATAGAGCCCTCAGAAATAATACCACACATCTACAACCATCTGATCTTTGACAAACCTGACAAAAACAAGAAATGGGGAAAGGATTCCCTATTTAGTAAATGGTGCTGGGAAAACTGGCTAGCCATCTGTAGAAAGCTGAAACTGGATTCCTTCCTTATACCTTATACAAAAATTAATTCAAGATGGATTAAAGATCTAAAACCATAAAAACCCTAGAAGAAAACCTAGGCAATACCATTCAGACCATAGGCATGGGGAAGGACTTCATGTCTATAACACAAAAAGCAATGGCAACAAAAGCCAAAATTGACAAATGGGATCTAATTAAACTAAAGAGCTTCTGCACAGCAAAAGAAACTACCATCAGAGTGAACAGGCAACCTACAGAATGGGAGAAAATTTTTACAATTTACCCATCTGACAAAGGGCTAATATCCAGAATCTACAAAGAAGTCAAACAAGTTTACAAGAAAAAAATCAAACAACCCCATCAAAAAGTGGGAGAAGTATATGAACAGACACTTCTCAAAATAAGTCATTTATGCAGCCAACAGACACATGAAAAAAATGCTCATCATCACTGGCCATCAGAGAAATGCACATCACAACCACAATGAGATAACACCTCAAACCAGTTAGAATGGTGGTCGTTAAGCAGTCGGGAAACAACAGGTGCTGGAGAGGAAGTTGAGAAATAAGAATGCTTTTACACTGTTGGTGGGACTATAAACTAGTTCAACCATTTTGGAAGACCGTGTTGTGATTCCTTAAGGATCTAGAACTAGAAATACCATTTGAGCCAGCCATCCCATTACTGGGCATATACCCAAAGGATTATAAGTCATGAGGTTATAAAGACACATGCACAGGTATGTTTATAGCAGCACTATTCACAATAGCAAAGACTTGGAACCAACCCAAATGTTCATTAATGATAGACTGGATTAAGAAAATGTGGCACATATACACCAGGGAATACTATGCAGCCATAAAAATGGGTGAGTTCATGTCCTCTGTAGGGACATGGATGAAGATGGAAACCATCATTCTTAGCAAACTGTCGCAAGGACAAAAAACCAAACACCGCATGTTCTCACTCATAAGTGGGAATTGCACAATGAGAACACTTGGACACAGGGTAGGGAACATCACACACTGGGGCCTGTTGTGGGGTGAAGGGAGTGGGGAGGGATAGCACTAGGAGATATACCTAATGTAAGTGATGAGTTAATGGGTGCAGCACACCAACATGGCATATGTATACATATATAACAAAACTGCACGTTGTATACATGTTTCCTAGAACTTAAAATATAATAAAAAAGAAACAGTTTTCACAATAATATTGACATATCAATTATAGTTGTGAGAAATAGGAAAAAAATCTGTGCTAAAATATCCTTCTATTCGTAATTAATCAGGTTTCTTTTCAGCAGCATGTTTTTACTATTGCCTCTTACCCTACCATGTGTCAAATTTTAACTTACATAACAACAAAAAAATTGTTTCGAAATATGAGCTATTTGATATCTATAAACAGATGGCTATCTAATATAAGCAGTTGTGTGTGCTATATGAATATCTCTTAAGTTTCACTGGAGATTATAAACATTTGAATTCTTGTTAACTTAAACATGAAATATAAGATGTGCTTATGTACAGGGTATTTATTCGGTGTTTTCATAGCTTTCATGTATCACTGAGAGTAGCATTTGGGCCACTTTTCATACACAGACGCATCTTCTCATCTACATAGTCATCCAGCATAGAAATACATTAAGAAAAAAAAAAAACCTTCCAAGTACAAATTACTAGAACATGTTTGGTCAGCAAATCTGCTATGTAGTTTCATGAAAATGAATTCTGCTGAAAAATATCTTGTGGTTTCCTTTTTCAGAAATACCAAAAAAATATGGCATTGCCAGAGTTGTATTAACCATGTATACTTACGAATCCTGTTTTTAAATGTAATTAGGAACACTGAAGCAATTTTTTAAAAGAGCATTTAATGTAAATAGTCTAAAATTACAATATTCCTAATGGTTTGGCTAGATGTATTATTTTATTGACTTTATGATATCTTCAAAAAATTAAACTTGGGTTCCAATTGAATTCACTGCAGAGTAAGAATATTCAAATGGGTCCTTATTAAATGTTTGTTGCCTGCATTTATTCCATCATTATTATTTTTTCTTATTAATCATTAGCTTCAAGTGATATTTTTTATCCTTTTTCAAAATATGTTGCAAGCCTCTGCAACATCTTGGTTTGCATACATAGTAAAAATATATGAAATAACTTGTTTAGTTAACTTTAACTTTTCATCCTTATACTAACCTCTGAGTTAATTGAAATTCCTCCAAAAGTATTGAAAAGCCAAATGAAAGGAATAGTCATGAGCATTTGCTCTCAAAGATCGGGAAGAAACTTGTTCTAAATGAGTTGTCTAGATATCTCTGTCTTGGGAGCAACTACAGAATGTCCTGCTGGGTCCGGGAACTCAGTTAAAAGACATGTGACTGCCTATTTAAAGTACAAGGATTTGGAGGCAGGAAATATAGATTCTAGTTACTTTACCTATGAAATGGGGTTTATACTATTTTCTCTATCAAATAACAGAGTTATCATATGCAAGATAATGCATTTGAAAGTGTTTTGTAAATACTTGCTAAGTAATACATACTATTGAAAGAAAATAGCAACTATGAGTTAAATTTTTCCTATTTCTTGATATGCAATAGGCACATATAATTTCATTTAATTCTTACCATAACTCTATGATGGATAAATTCTCAATATTATTTTGATACTGAGGAAAAGAAGCTTAAAAGTGGTTAGGTAATTGTCCCAAACTCGCACAATCAGAGATGGTGGAGCTGGCATGTGAATGCGGGTATATCCATTATACCAGGCTGCCTCCATTGTGGAAGTATTAGGCATTTTTAAAATTAACAGTAAGCAGGGAAAGTATAATTAATATATGTCTAAATTGTATTGTACATTTAATATTCTGTTGTTTGTTTTGAGACTGGGTCTTACTGTGTTGCCCACGCTGTAGTGGAGTAGGACAATCTCGGCTCACTGCAACCTCCTCTTTCCACCTCAGCCTCTGGAGTAGCTGGGACTACAGATGTGCGCCACCGTGCTCAGCTAATTTTTGTATTTTTACTAGTGATGGGGTTTCCTCACGTTGCCCAGGCTGGTCTGAAACTCCTGGGCTCAAGCAATTCACCCACCTCTGCCTCTCAAAGTTCTGGGATTAGAGATGTGAGCCCCCATGCCTGGCCTATTCTTTTCTTAAGTAGTTTATTTTTCAGTACATCTGTCAAAAAATATTTGAACAAATTGAGAGACTATAAACATGCTTAGCAATATTTTGAGGATATTCTTGTCATAGTCTCAAATATAGACAAGGGCATAAAAATAACTAGAATAGGAGAGAGAGAGAGAGAGAGAGAGAGAGAAATTGCTGAAAAAATGTGGTGAAAAGAAATGTTGTTGCTTTAGACAATAGTGTCAGGAATTAGCAATAATTTTCAAGGAAAAGAAAATGTTTCCAGGTAACATATTAGTCAATTAAAAGAAAGACATTCCAATTGACTGATTCCACAGTGAATAATCTCTGAAAGTAAAGCACCAGAAGCAGACTGTACCCATTAACACTGTGATCTACTGAACTTAACAAGGCTTTATATAATAAGTATAAAAATGCTGCTTTATAGTTCATAAGACTTTACCATTTTAGTTATCATTTATACAAATCTTATTTCATTACATTTATTCTCAAGTTTTACCAGGAACCTAGTTATTAGAACTGGAATCTGACTAAGGCTTAAGGGAAAGTATCTTATTTTTAATGAACAATTCCTACACACTAGGCAACTGAACTCACATACCTCATCTTATTTAAGATTCACAGCAACCCCAAAGTAGATATTATTATTCCACTATTACTGATGAGGCTTAAAGATCTTTAATAGACTACAAGATAAAAAAAATTATATGTTTTAGAGCTAGTACTTGAATCTGTTAAATCACTTATCTTTCTAAAAGCACAATATTGACTTACTCAGATAAGGTTATTACCTATCTATCTCAGCCTCATGAAAAGCACATTATGAAGCCATTATTAAGTGATTTGAGCCAAAATACAACCTAAGTGGTCCAAAGAGAATGATTGTTTTTAGTTAAATTAGAATTACATCAAGCTTAAGTTATTTACTGCAGCCTCTTGTGTATTTAGCACTGAGTCTTTGGTATTTACTTTACATCTATGTACATTCTACTATAGAGCCAGATTGCCTAGTTTTAGAAATACAAGGTTATCCTCTTACTAGTTGTATAATGAGAAATAGGAGGGTGGTGATGATGATAATGAAGAAGAAAAAGATAGAGATGATGGTGATAAGAATAATAACAATGTTAGAAGTCTTACAATGTACCAAGCACAAGGAAATTTTGTTTCAAGAAGGACAAAACAAACCTCACAATTTTTTGGGAAAGGTGGTGGCAGCGGCAGAGAGAATATCCTAAGAGACAAGAAAGTGTAAGAAATCAAGTGTGGTCCAAGTTTACTGAGGAGGTTTTAGAATAGACAGAAAGATCTGTGTAACAGAAAATGTCTTTCACTCATACTCCTCTCCCAGTATGTCTCCATTAATCCTATCCTGAAAGAAGATCTTTCCATGAAATGCAAGTCAAATTGAGAACTCTGTATCACTATGTGATGTATTGTGTATTCATGTAATATTTGGTCGCAAATAATCAACAAGGAGCTTAATCACACAGGGTAAAGCAATGGAATGGTGCATGGTTAGGAAACACAGTTAGACCTCAGGAGGGACAGAAACCAGAAATTCTAATGTGAAGAATGTGTTTATTATCTCCTTATTTTCAGTGATACCTTATCTCTTATCTCTCGTATTTCTCTGTTTTATTATTTTTTCACTCTCCGTAGACAGTTTATGTTAATGTCTCTGCGTATTATTAAAAGGTAATTCCAGTTCCAGATTTACATAATTTCCTACATAATTTAACAGTTTTTTGTTCTGATCAGTCTGTATGAACAAACTCTGTCTACTCTACCTTGTTATTTTGCTTTATGTGTTTCATGATTATACTGCTACCTCACCTGTGCTTTTTCTGTCACTCTCACCAGATTAGAAGCTAAAAGAGAGCACATTTTCTGGTTTGTCCCTCAGTGTCCACTGTAGACCTTGTGAAGGATTAAATACCCAGTACATATATGTTGAAAGAATGCTGGATAAATCTCAGACTCGAGATACATGCATACAGAAATAACTGACTTGTGAACTAGTTAAATAGATATTATCAGGAGAGTTTTGTGTGTGAGAGAGAGACAGAACATATAAGAGCTTCCAGAAAACAGAGTTTTTGGAAGTAAACATTGCTAACAGAGGAACAATAGCCTGAATGACTGTCCTCCTTTTCTTTTCAGACTCAAAAGGATCATTATCACAAACCATAATTAGTCTCTTCTCTGTAAATTAAGATTATCTCTGTTCTCACTCATTCCATTTCCTGGAAGAATATTCAGAAAAAATATTTAGGAGAAGTGACAGAGTGCTCAGCTAAGCCCAACTTTGACCCAATGATTTATGATAGATATAAATATGGATAGATATAGATTTATATAGATATCAATAACATAATTGTATATATCATAAAATTTCATTTGTTGTTTATGATATACCAAATACCCCATGTACTTTACATATATTTTCTTACCTAATGTACACACCAACTTTATGATATGAATGTTGTTGATAAAAAGCCAATTTTGTAAGTGAGAAACAGACATTTGGTACGAGGATTTGGTACATTGATTGTGGATTTTCATTTGGGTACTCTTATTTTAAAGCTCATACTCTTAGCCAGGACTCTATGCTACCTCATTACTATTTCTGGGCAATTTCAGGGTGTTGGTTAAGTCCCAATTGATCCACTCAAGTTTTTACAATTTCATGAACCTTAATTTTATACTCCATCTTCTGTCCCACATAGAATTACCTCATATCCATTAAGATTCCACCTAAATTTCAATTTTTTATAAGCACTTGTTTTTAACTCATGCTACAATGCTACACGTGTATCCCACACCTCCTCAAAAACAAACAAACAAACCTAATTTGTTGATACGTCTATGTACCTCATAAAAATTTTGCCCTATTTGAAATTGAGCAGGGTAGAATTTCTTAATGCAGCTATAAAATAATTTTTGTAATTTCCCCTCATGTTTTCTGTGTTTTTCCTCAGTTTTATTGCTTTACCATGAATTTATGAAACATTCTTACAAGCTTATTGCTATGAAGTTCTCTTTGTTAATTCACCCGATTAAATCCTTTCTAATTTTAAGAGTGGCATAATGATAATATAATCTTTTTAAAAAATCCTTCCTTTCTCCCTTCATTGTTTTTCTTATTTTCTTGTTTGTTTTGTAAACACATTGACTCCTAAAATGGTCTCTTTATTCCTTGTCATTTTTTTGGAGCCTGTCAGATATTAAGATACCAGGATTTGGAGTTAGAGCTATGTTTAAATTTTGGGCACCACCAATTGTTAAATGAATAAACCCCTTAATCTCCCAAAATGACAATAGCACTACATTCTTTGTGGTTGTAATGTAAAGTAAATAAGATAATATAATTATTCATGCCATCTGCTCTTCAAAGCCATCCAGAATTGCATTTTATAATTCTCTGTGACAAAACACCCTCATAACTCACTGAGATCAGCACGTTTTCTCAGATACCCCTTCCACTTGTGATTTCCTGCCTTGAGTGACCTATTTTTTGTGGTTATAGAGAAAATAGTCTGCTCTAAGTTGCCAAATAGCTCATCATAGTGGGCTTGCATGAATTTGTGTGTGTGTGTGGGTGTGTGTGTGTAATCAGTAGTTTTCAGTTTCAATATTGATTATCTAAGGATTCTAAGAGTATGGAAAAAATGTGACCAAACAGAATAGGATACAACTAAGTACTGCAGAGACTGAGAGATTAAGACTGAGCTGGGGGCCCAGGATGCTAATTTCAAGTCATAATTCTTCTTTGACTACCTGTGTCATCTTGAGCAAGTTACTTAATCTCTCTGTAACTTAGTTTCCTCATACATGAAATTATAATGAAAGTATCTATCTCATAGGGATTATTGTGAATATTAAGAGGATAAATTTATATAAAAGGCTCAATTAGTATTAGCTATTATTGTTATAACCTTAGCATATTTCTTTCTCAGCCTTTTGGCTGTTCCAACTAGATATGGGTACTGGTGATGTCCTAAAATCATTTTCTTGGTGACAATGCAGTTTTTGCAGTTTGGGTTTGTTTACAAGAGATAGTCCAATGACAAATATAGAAAGCTCAGGATTCAGGGTGCTTTGATTTACACTATCACCTAGTAACTGAGTGATCTTGGGCAAGTTGCTGCTCTAAGATTGATTTCCTCATGGGTAAAACGAGCATACCTGTCTCAAAGGGTTGATGATCAACTGAGATAATACATTTAAAGTACTGAGCACGGTGCCTAGTGAACAGAATTCTATACCTGAGTCAATGTTTGTCATTGCTGCTCCTGCTGCTATTTCTATAATATATTGTTTAAATCACTTTATTGTGAAATAGATAATAATCATAATTAGAAGCCCTTGTAAAAAACAAAACAAAACAAAAAAACGAACAAAAAGCTATGTGGTGCCCTTCGTGCAGCAAAACAAAAACAAACAAAAACTGAACAACAACAGACTTTCTATCACTTACAATGGTTTCTTTCTCTTTCTTGTTCTGAAAATTTCACCAGCTAGAAATCCTTTTGAATAGCAAGTCTTCGCTTTTCAAATAAGATATCTTTCTGAATGGAGAGATTATTGGCCTTCAATACTCCTATAAATTAAATCAATCAGCTTTCTTTCCTTTGCAGTCTTGTTGAGATTAACATCACTGAGAAATGGAATTATTCATTGGGGGAGTAAAGAAGTATGATTACTAGATCTTGGATTACTCTGGTGAAATGTATCAATCAGTCCCCTATGAGTTTATGACATCATTAAATTTCTGTGAACTTGGAAGCATAGAAGGAAAAGGACAGTTACAGAAACTGGTAATATTTTCTAGGATGAGTTTATGCCCAGGAAACAAACAAACAAAAAACCCCTTTCACCTTTTACTGTTATTACCTTTATTAACCAAGAATAGAAAGCCAAGGAGTAATGCAAAGAGAGAGAAGGAATTACAGAAGGGGCAATATATTGAAGAAGAAAATAAAGGATGGGACTCGGAGCACTACAAGTATGATAAACCTTTTGTAGAAAAAAAGTGCACTTCCTCCTTTTAAACTGATTGAAGATGAGTAAAATAGGGGGAAATGGAAATAAGTTTGTGTTTTGTGATGGGAAGATGAGAATATTTGTGTGTGTTAGACTGATTTTCTCAATGAAAGTGGAGAAAATATCAGAGGAAGCATAGGAGATTTGGGGATCAAAGAAAAGACATGAAATAATCAAATTAGGTAGTAATTGCCAAACCTTTTCTGTAAGGGACCAGATGGCAAATGTTTTCAGTTTTGCGGGCCATGCAATCTCTGTTGCAACTCCTCAACTCTGCCATTGTAGGGTGTGATTAATTTTATGTCAACTTTACTGGGCTAAGAGATTCCCAGGCAGCTGGTAAAACATTATTTCTGGGTGTCTTTGTGAGGATGTTTCCAGAAGAGATTAGCATTTAGATTAGTGAGATGATTAAAGCAGATGGCCCTCCACAGTGTGAGAAAGCCCAAATAGATAAAAATGCAGAAGTGATAACTCAGTGGGGTTTTAATTTGCATATCTCTGATGATTAGATTTTTAAGCGTTTCTTTATGTACCTTTTGGCCATTTCTTTATCTTCTTCTGAGAAATGCCTATTCAGATCTTTCACCTATTTTTCAATTGGGTTATATATTTTCTTAATATTCAGTTGTTTGAGTTGCTTATATATTTTGGATATCAACCCCTTTTCTGATGTCAAACTCATAGAACTAGGCAGTAGAATGATGGTTACCAGGGGCAGGGGATGGGGGAGTTGAGATAATGTTGTTCATAGGATACAAAATTTCAGGTGGATAGAATAAATAAATATTGCACAGCTGTGTGCAGCTATAGTTAATAACAGTGTATTATATGGTTGAAAACTGCTAAGATAGTATTTTTCAACTGTTCTCACCATACAAAAATGATGAGTATGTGCAGTAGTGAATATGTTAATTAGCTCAATTTCGCTATTCCACAATGTATACATATTACAAAACATTTTGTATGTGACAATATATACAATTTTTGTAAATTAAAAGAAAATGGCAGAGAAAGGGCAAATTTGCTCTCACTCTTCGAGCTGGGACATCCAACTTCTCTTGCCCTAGACAGCATCAGCTTACCTGGTTCTTTGTGTGCCACCATTTTTTTTTCTTTGGTAAAGATGGGGTTTTGCCATGTTGCCCAGGCTGGTCTCAAACTCCTGAGCCCAAGCAACTTGCCCACCTCATCCCCGCAAAGTGCCGGGATTACAGGTGTGTGCTATCACACCTGTCCTTAGCTGTTCTTTATAATAAAAAATGTGCAACATTTTTCTCCACCTAGTAGTATTGTTTGTTTTCTTTCACCAAATTTCCTGTGATAATTGTGGAGTTGGTAGACATCTTAGGGTCTTTTAACAACTCTGGGTAATTTAGATAAACATTTTATAGTTAATCTTTTCATTTTTATTTTTTGTCTTATGCTTCAGAGGGGGATTCAAGGGGCCAAGGGGCCAGTGATTATTTCATTGTTTTTGCTTGTTATTGTTGTTTACTTACTTGCTTACTTGCTATGCTTACCTATAGCAAAGTTTAATCCATTAATAATATTCAACTTTTAAAGTTAGAAAAATTACATATATGCAATCTGTTCCCTCTGTCTCCTGCATCCTCTCACCTCTGCACATTTACTTGCAGGTGTTTTTTCCTTAAGGAGAGTCAAATATTTTAACCAGGGTTGTAAGGAAAGTATACTGCCCAGCCCCTTGTCATGGGGATGATTATGTAATTCACACCAGGCTACTTTGGGTGGTCGTAGAATGTTAAAACTGGAACTAAGAAAAACCAAGTTTTTGGATTTCAAAACTAGAAATATATCGAGTTTATGCTTACGGTTTCATGAAGAAATCTTTGGTGAGGGAATTAAATTTGCATAGAGAACTTAGGACAAATGGGATACAAATTTATAGAATCCTAATTGCATTTTATTTTGTTTTTAGCAATCATTGATGTTCCTTTATCCCCTGCTATGTTTCTTTGTGTTGCCTAAACTGGTTCAGATTGTGTTTCTGTATCTCAAAATCAAAAGAGAGTCCTGGACCTTACCCTTAGACATTGAATTTGTTCTTTTACGGTCACCCATACCATAAGCATTCAAGATTTCTATTGTCCACCTGGAAAAGCCAAGAAAGAAAAAATGTCAATGACAATCTCAGTGTCGTTGGAGAATAAAACACTATGGAGTTTTATTTTCATGTAAATGCTTGTGATAAAAAATAAAATATAGAGTGAAAAATCAAGTTCAGTAAGTGTATTTTCACTTTCTATTCTTTCAGGCCAGCAAATTGATTACTTTGTATTGTTTCTAAAATACTTATAACCATAAGTCCTAATTAAGAGTGTAGCTCTTCTATTGCTATGTTTAATTAAATGTAATGATTTATTGAAATTGTGACACCATATCCCTGCTCTTATTTAATTCCAAATGGCAGAGTACACTAGTTTGCAAGTATTTCTGCAACTGCCTAAGGATAGTGGTTAATTTTACTACTTTGACTAGTACTTTGATTGCTGCTGCTTTAATCAAGCTTCCCATCTACCTAAATCAGCTATTACATACTTAAGAATTGAACGTTTTATACAAAACACTGTGGCTGTATTTTAATATGGCTATATAGATAATTAGAGACATATCATATAGTAGCAGCTCTCACAGTTGAACAACTTCAAAATCATGATCCATCATAAATAATTGCAAGGATTACATAGAATAATGGACATTTTATATGCTTACAATTGGCTGGTATTGTACTCCAGTCTCCTTTTAACTTTCCAGCATAAATAGCTGGTAAGGTGGTAACAAACAAATGTGTTTTTAATATCTAAATTGTCAAAGTAAAACCCCAAGCTTAACAACCTCAGGGACACCCAATTGACATGGCTCTAAACATTCAGTAGAGTGAAAGCTTGAATAGGCATTGAATCAATCAGGACAGGTTATAGGCTTTAGTAACAAACGATCCAGAATTCTCAATAGCTTAAAATAATAAAGATTTATTTTGCACCCATGGTACAAGAAGGATACCACATTACACATCAGAATAACAGAATAGCGCATTGGAGTATAATACCAAGGGTTGGAAAGGTTGTAAGGGGAGGGAAACTTCACACTCTACTACTCTCAGGTGTATTAATTGTGAAAGCTATGGTAGAAAGCAGTCTGGCATTATTTATTGAAATTAAATGTGGTTTTTGCTCTGTGGTTCAGCAAATTGCCAAAGAAAGTCTCCCAAAACCTACAAGAATGCACTAATAATTTTGAATAATTGGAAGGGGATAATATTTAGAGCATAATACTCTTTGTATATATTAAAGCATTTATTCCACAAATACACTATAGCTACACTTATATGTAAGTATCTGTATGAAACTGTGTACTATAGTTCTTATAGGAGGACAGGAAATAGAAGTGATAATGAAAGGACATGAGCAAATTTAAACATAAATATAAAATGTCCAGTGCTGGACTTATGATTTTTAAAAAGTGCTATGAATTGAGGAAGAAAATTCACTAAATTGTTTTACCTGATATTAAATCCAAATTTTAAATAAGATGGGGAAGAAAGTGTCAAAATAATACCTACAAACATTTATTTTTGTTTTAACCATTTTTGGTCCATTGTGGCCAAAGTTTACAGGAGTTCTGTAGTTCTGGATATAGCCATCATTGGCCAATATATTTTCTGCCGCTAGGGAATTCATTGATCCATTTAATAATCAGCAATTTCATTTTTACTTTCTATTAGTCACCAGGATACAAAAATGAATAGAATTGTTACTTTTCCCTTATTATGCAGGGATAGCATAACTCATGGAAAAAAAAGAAAATATGATAATAATAAATGATCAACAAGCTATAACGTGATATATTAAATAATATCAGATTAGTGTGTGGTAAGAGACAAATAGAAAAATTAGAAATTGGGAAATTATGTTTGTGGTTGCAGTGCAGATGTGTGTACATTCAGGTACAAAGAACTTACTTCCATTGCTTCTGACTTAGCTGCTTTTCCATCAGTCCATTTCTAAATAATTTATTGTGCTTGCATTTTTAATTTTAATGTGGAAAATAAGTGAATACCTACAATTAAATTCAATATAAACATACAAAAACAGTAGTCTATGTGTTCCTGGCAGTTTTTCTTTAGACACATACACATACTTACCATACACACATACACACACGTACATCTTACATGCATTACACAGTTTTATAAAGCCCTCTTTTTAATTTACTGTATCACAAATATTCTTACATCATAATCTCACCTCTAAAACATAATTTTTTGAGTTGTAAAGACATTTGATGCACAATGACTTTTTTTGACACCTGTGCATTTTTAAACCATTTTATTGAAGTATGATTGACATACAAAAAGCTGCACATTTTTAATGTTTACAACTTGATACGCTTGGAGTTAAGTCTGTACCTGTGAAATCATAACCATAGCCAATGCCATAAATATAGCCATCATCTCAAAGGGTTTTCTGCTTCATATTTATTATTCTTTCTAAGAACAAAAGTATATTTGTATGTAGTATCTGCGTACATAGCACCCAGTCAAGATAAAGAACTTACCATCTGCCCGGAAAGTTACCTCCTGCTCTTAGCAATCATTATCTCCAACTGCACCTGTCTGCTTCCTCGACTCAGGCAACAACTGATCTGATTTTTATCACTCCACATTACTTGTGTCTGCTCTAGAACTCTATTCAAATAAAATTAGAGAGGATTTATTCTTTAATGTTCAGCTTTTTCTTTTTACTTTATTTTATTTTATTTTTAAGATGGAGTCTCCCTCTGTCGCCCAGGCTGGAGTGCAGTGGCACAATCTCGGCTCACTGCAACCTCCACGTCCCAGGTTCAAGCTATTCTCCTGTCTCAGCCTCCCTATTAGGTGGGATTACAGGCGCCCGCCACCACCCAGCTAATTTTTGTATTTTTAGTAGAGACGGGGTTTCACCATGTTGGCCAGGCTGGTCTCGAAATCCTTATTGTTGCGTAATATATATATATATCACAGTTTGTAATCTTTTTGAGTTGTTTCCACTTTTGCGACTGCTATGAATGAAGTTGTGAAAATTTGGGAGGTTTTTTATGAACTTTTACAACATTATATTAATAGTTGTATTTTATTCCATTACAGCAATATACTTAAAATTTTATTTTGTTGCTGGGCATGGTGGCTCATGCCTGTAATCCCAGCACTTTGGGAGGCCGAGGTGGATGAACCACTTGAGGCCAGGAGTTCAAGACCAGCCTGGCCAACATGGTGAAACCCCGTCTCTACTAAAAGTAAAAAAAAAATAGCTGGGTGTGGTGGCACGCACCTGTAATCCCAGCTACTTGAGGCTGAGGCATGAGAATCGCTTGAACCCAGGAGGCAGAGGCTGAAGTGAGCGGGGATCACGCCACTGCACTCCAGCCTGGGTGATAGAGAGAAACTCTATCAAAATAATAATAATAATTTAAAAATAAAATTTCATTTGTCCTATTTTAATCTTTCTATAAAAACCAATTCTGGTACAGATGAACATGTTTCTATCAAAACATTTGCATAATTATTGAAAATAATTTCCTGTAATTTTTACTGGTTGGTCAAGAATTTGGCTATATTGACAAATCTTGCTTTTAAATTATTGTACAGATTTAAATTTTTGTCTTTATTTTTTCACAAGTAAATGGTTACTAAATTGCATAATTCCTTTTGTTTCTTTTCACTCTGTTTGAGTCAGCCTGTGGAAGTGTTATTTGGGAGGTGTTATTTAGAGGAAACCTATGCCCAGTGTTGTTTTATTTGTATTAATTTATCACAGTGATGAAATACTTTCAGTGTTCATTGAACCTCTTTATGTTTATACACACACACACACACACACACAACTTATATTGCATTCCCATTATGTGCATATGTACATTTGTGTATGTAAACTTAAAAAATTAAAAAATTAAAAATAATGAAATTCCTTCTTATGCCTATCCGTCTTTCATGACTGTGTAGCATCCTTAAAATAGTTTCTTATTACCTTTTGGGAGCCCCTCTTCTGTACTGTGTGCAGTCTGCATGAATTGATCAATATCTTAGGCCTAACTTCCCTTGAATTAATGAAACATGCACGCATTACAAGTTAGATATGTACTCTATACGTAGATGCTGTGTCAGTAATTAGAGACACAAGTAAACAGGAATCTCACCAAAATCACTTCTGACATACCAGCAGCATCTCCATTGTCAGGTGTCACTGAGGTTAATGTTGCAAACATGGTGTTTATATTCAACAAATGCAGTGGGGGTATCTGCAATGTGAACAGTATTGTGGCATCATTTTTGTCTTAGATCTGAACATTTTCAAGTTCACCCACAATTTCTTGGAGCTACAAAATATTATTTTAATAAATATAACTGCTCTCTAAATAAACTCCATACTACATTTCATTTGCTTTAAACTAAAAACACCTACAGATAAATACAGTAAGCCTGAGCATAATCACTGGTTTTGTAAGTCAATTGTTTTTCCATTTCTGTCCATTTTTTTCTTGACTTTTTTTGTTTTAGTTCTCTTATTATGGATAGTAATCTATTCTGTAACAAATATAGGGAATATTTTCTCTAAGTCTGTTGATATCATAATTTGATTATTTTCTTAGTTAGAATATAAAATTCTATAAAGTACTTGCATACTTTAAGTCAGATTTAAAATTATGCATATTGGCTAAATTCTCTCCATTCTCCATGTGTGATTTTCCCTGTTCCCTTTCAACCTTATTATCTGTCTCCACTAGTTAATCCTTAAATGTTAAAGAAAGTCTTAAAATAAGACATTTGTGGGAGCAGACTAGTTTTTCCTCTGTAGCTCTGAGATCTACAATTATCATTCTAGCTTTATATAACTATTCAGTCACCTAGGAGAATCACTTCTCATATAACTCTCTTCTGATGAATTATTAAAAGTGACTGATGTTTATGTGAATGTTTTAAAAATTATTACATAAAATTCTGTTTTGGGGGGCTTATAAAGTTTTGTGATATAGGCAAGGATAAAATTATTATATTAATTTTTAAAATGATACCATAAAATTTTAAGAAAAAATAAAGTTTATATGGTTTTGAAATGAATGTCAATTTTTTATAACATTATTTTTTCCTCTTACATTTCCTATCATATGATGTACAATTTTAATTTCTCCATTACATAGCTCTCTTGATTAACGTGGTATCTCACAGGACTCCCATTGTAAAGGTACTTTGTTTCTCTTTTTTTGTAGAAAAATATATTTTATTTTATTTTTTAATTATTTTTACAAAATTGTACACATAAAGGGTATACATTTGATATTTTGATACAAGTATACAATGTATTTTAGACTATATAAATATTTTTCATAAAACATATTTTTATATTTTCATTAAGCTTTCAAATTATTTATATTTTACATAAGTATGGACTTACAGATTTTCACATTATTCAAGTAATTATAAACTTCTATTATCATAACTTATTTTCACACATAACTTTGCCAGTTGGACCAGCTTTCAGCTGGCTTCTGTATCCCTTTTTATATGTTTCCATTAGTTTTTAAACCTTTCTAAGTTTCCTGGTACAGCCCTAAATTTCAGTCTCATCTTGTCATTTAACATCCATAGTGCTGAAAATAGCCATTTCTCTCATGAGCCTTAGTTTCTTCTGGTGGAGAGTGGTAATTCAAAAGTAAGATCTTTGCATAATAATTGTTTGTTACTATTGAGGTGCCACAGCTCCAATGGTCTCTTAGTGGACGCAGCTAGGGTATGTATGTATGTATGTATGTATGTATGTATGTATGTATGTATGTTTGCATGTGTCTGTGTACAGATTTATGCATTTACATCTGTGTTTTTTTCTACCTATCTGTCATGTGTCTATCTACCATGTGTCTATCATTCATCTGCATATGCAATACCATGAATTCATACCAAAACTCAAACTCCAAATCCAATCATGCACAGTTCATTTTTATTTTCTCCCTTTTCATATTTGTAATTCCTTTCTCTGATAGAAAGTGATTCCCATTATTACACAGACACACACACACACAGTTTCAATCCCTTTGTATGAAACTGATCCTTCTTTGCTATGACTTCCTCCAATCCTCATACACACAGGCAGACATCCTCTTCAACACACTCGTGTTTGAACACTTTATGAGGAATAGTGCCATACATAGGACATTACTTCTTACCACTCAAGTTAACATTCTTCCTTGGGCTTTCTTCTGCATGAATGGCATCTCTCTAGAGTCAGGCTTTGATGCTGTACCAGTTCAGCATCACATCTCACCTCCCACCACATGGACATCTTCAATTTACATAGGCTCTGATATTCTATTGTAGGCCACCAAGACTTCCACCATTCTTCATGTGAAACTCTAACTTAAAGGTTATCAAACTAAATTTTTCAAGAAGGGAAAAAGGCAAAGAGAAGAGAGAAGAGAAAGAGGAAAGGAACAGATGCTACATCTTCACATTACAAAAGACCTTAATGGTATGCTAAACAACAACTTTGCAATAGTTTATTTAATTGCTTTGGATTTTGTCTCCAAAATCACTGTGTCTTAGAGAGTTAAGTGACTTGTGCTTTAGAACTTTCATTTTTTGAGTTTGCAATAAGAATGGATCCAATTATAGAGACTACAGTTAAGGACTAAGTTTGACCTGTGTAGTGAAATTGTCTGCAAAACAGGAACACAAGAATTATAGCTGTAATAATAGAGCAATTTTTAATGTTGCTGAGAAATTAAAATATAACTTTAAAGTGACACTACACATATTTCACAGAAGGGCTCTAAGATTAGAGTTAGAACAACATAATAATACATCCATGCTAAAATAATAAAAATATTGCTCTTAAATAAATAGAAGAGTGGAAATAACTGTTACGTCTACTAGAAAACCAATATTGAAGAAAATAAACAAGACTAAAACTCTAAACATATGAAGCTTTAAGCATAAATCTCACTAAGGAGTGACAAGTGAATGATGGTTATCAATTCAAAGCTGAGCATTTAGCAGCCATCTGAATTCATTTCAGGCTTAAAAATGCTTTGTGTTCTTGTGTGATTCAGAGTTTTAAATTATCTTTTACATCAGTAGTGGTGTTCAGTCAGTCCAACAGGAAGCAGATGCTGAGTAGGAGGTAGCAGTATAAACAATTTATTTGGGAATAACACCAGTGAAAGATAAATGCGGAAGGAAGCAGAATTGAGCAGGATAAATCCTCTATCCTCTCAGAAACCTGTGAAAGCAAAGGGACATGGAGCAGGATTGGGCAGGGCTTCATACCATGATACAGATGTGAAAGAGTAGCAGATAACACAATGAGAGCCCTGGATCAAAGATGGCCCATTAAAGGATGCCCACATTGCATGCCAACACTTGGCTGGAGCCTGCCAATAAAGGAATTGTTTTCAGCTCATAAACTGGAGCTTACCCGGAAGGATGGAGCCAGTCAGCAAACTGCATTCTTCCCAGCTAATCAGGAATTTCTATCTTGAAGGGCACTCCAAGTGTTGCATCTCCATGGCTACCACAACAGGATAATTTTATCTGAAAAAGTCTTTAAAAAGTAATTCTGTCAATGCAACAATTTATTCCTCTAATTCATTCAGCATTTATCTAATGTCAAGCTTTCAGGAGACTATGATAAATACAAACTAGTTATTTCTCTCAAGGAGCTTAAGATATGATGGTAGGAAATAAAAACAGTTAAATAGCAATGAAAATGAAATATGACAGATGTTATAATAAGAATATTCTAGAAGACAAAGGATTGAGACCCTAACCAAGCCTGCAGGCATTCCCAGCACTTTCTAGAGCATGAGCAGATAAACTGAAGTCTAAAACAAGCAATAATTGTTTAAGGAAAATGAGTTGGAAAAGTAGGTGCAGAAATCAATATTTTAGAGTAAATATCGTCTTTGAATTTAGTTTGATATATTTATATACATATATCAAATGTCTGGCTTTGTCTCATGCTGAGAGAAGAGAAATAGCAGTCACAAAATTTAAGAAAACTGCTTAAGAGTCAGGAGATATACCTAATGCTAAATGACGAGTTGGTGGGTGCAGCACACCAGCACGGCACATGTATACATATGTAACTAACCTGCACATTGTGCACATGTACCCTAAAACTTAAAGTAACATAATAATAATAATAATAATAAAAGAGTCAGGAGACTATGGAGAAGTATACTTATTTCTAGATCAACTTTTGAGTAAGAAGAAAAGAACTTTTTAACACAAATATTAGTGCCAAAGGTAAATATTGAAAGGGTGTGGAAAGCTATAGCATCTATTATATGAATAAGAGCCATAGAAAAATGAATACCAAAGGATGACTCAGTAATATCAAAAATTACATTAATATAACTTTCCATTTAAACATAATTTTAAAACTTAAGGGCAGAAAAGCTTAATTTGTTTAAAAATAAAATTTTGAAATCAAAACTTTTGAGTGAAACAAAAATTTCATTTAAATATGTTCACTATCATCGCCATCATTTTTTTATATGTATATATATGGAGAGAGAGAGAAAGAGAGAGACAGAGAGACAGAGGCAGAGGGAGACAGAGAGAGAGAGAGAAAGAGAGTGAGTGAGTGAGTGAGTATATTTCACTCCCATCGCCGAGGCTTTAGTGCAGTGGCACCATCTCTGCTCACTGCAACCTCCTCTGCCTTCCCGGCTCAAGTGTTCTCCTGTTTCAGCCTCGTGAGTAGCTGGGACTACAGGCCGGTGCCACCACTGCCCGGCTAATTTTTGTATTTCTTGTAGAGACAGGGTTTCACCATGTTGCCCAGGCTGGTCTGAACTTCTGAGCTCAATCAATCCACCTGCCTTGGCTTCCCAAAGTGCTGGGATTACAGGCATGAGCCACTGCATTTTTCATAGCTTGAAAAATTAACTCCACTGAACAAGTGAGAAAGAACAAATTCTTATTTAATATAAAACTTTCAAGCTCCTGGAGAAAATGCTTCAAAATTATTTTATGAAACATTTATCTGGCTTATTATTTTAAACTTAGTGGTGAAAATAAAAGCTATCTTCTCATTTTATTTGTGTGAACGCTGAGGGAGCCAATCTCTCAAGATGAATCTTGAGTGGCCTAGATTCAAACTGGACCTAAGTGGCCATTTACTGATTAGAGGTCACACACACACACCTTGAGGTACTGGAAAACCCATGTGTCCTTAATTTTGGGATTTCTTAGCTACCTGTTCCTGTTTATGCCACCTAAACCAACCAGTACACTGTGATCTTTGTCTAAAATCAGAACTCAGCAAGCATTATCCAATTAGAACTAAGTAAGTTTGAATCCTTCATTTGCATAAGCAGGCCTTAAGTGGGAACCCTGGGCCAGAACTTCCTCTATAAATGATAAATCTTCCTTTATTGTCTGGAACACACCTCATTTTACACCAAAGGCTGCATCTCCCTGGTTTGCAAACTGCTCCATCTAATCTCTTTTCTTTAAATTATTTTTCAGAGAATTTTTATTTATACTTGTAAATAAAGATTTTTGAAAGACCAACCTATAAATATTAGGCAAAATATTCTCATTTCTATTTGAAAAACTGGATTTAATCCAGCAATACAGGCATGAAGTTTTGGAAATTATGTTAAACTGTTATTCTTCCTTATATATTCTTAAACTAAATAGGGAGGAAAGCAGAAACATAAATTTTAGGAAAACACTTTGATTGACTTTTGGTCTAAAATTTGAAGGCCCTTGAGATATTACAAATAAGAAAGAGTAAAATAAATACAAAGCTAAATATTTATGCATATTATTATAATTATAATGCGGGATTTGTCACCTGATAACTTGATCACAATGTACAAAGGTAATTTGAACAATGAAAAGAGATAATAGGAATAGGGGTTATTCAAATAGCAATAAACCTAGGGAGACATATAATTATTGAAAAATTCACTATGACAGGTCATTTCTGAATATAATGAAAACTACAATTTTTAGTTTAAAATCTTTGGAGAGTTATAAAAACATCATTTATTGGCGGTGTTCTGAGTAAATAAAAATTGTATGTGCCTCGTCTCTCAAATGTCTTGCTTGGTCTCTTGCTGAGAGAAGAGGAATAGCAGTCACAAAAGTTAAGAATACTGCTTAAGAGTCAGGAGACTATGGAGAAGTATACTTAAGTCTAGATCTACTTTTGAGTAAGAAGAAAATAACTTTTTAACAAAAATATTAGTGCTAAAGGTAAGTATTGAAAAGGTGTGGAAAACCATAGCATCTATTATATGAAGAGGAGCCATAGAAAAATGAATATTAAATGATAATGCAGTAATATGAATTTTATTTTCCATTTAATATGTAAATATAATTTTCCATTTAAACATAATTAATTTTAAAACTTAAGAGCAGTAAAACTTAATTCGTTTAAAAATAAAATTATAAAATCAAAACCTTTGAGTGAAACAAAAATTCCATTTAAATACGTTCACTATCATCACCATAATTTATAAATTTATGCTCCAGATAATACAATAAATTATGAAAAGTAATGACCTATAATTTACAAGAAATGGCATTATAATTATGACTTGAAGATGATAACATTATCTGCTTTAAGTTACACTATCAGACATAAAAGCGAAATGAGTAGTTACAAAATAAATGTACACAATCTACAGTTTTCTTATACATCTAAATTATCTTATAGAAAATGCAAGCAAAAGTAAGACCCAATTTATAATAAAAATAACTCTAATAAACATCATCATAAAAACTAACAAGTACCTTGAATCACCTGTATAAAGGGAGCTACACCACTTCTTTATAGCCACAAATAGGATCTGATTGATTAAATTATCATATTGCCTAATGAGAAATTCAACAAGATGTCAATTCTGTGTACACGAATCTAATTGATAAGTGAATCCAATTCTGATATAATAATATATATTTTATAAAACTTGAAAATAATTTTAGATTCAGCAAGAAGAATAAACCTTTGACTACAATCATTTTGGGCCAAGAAAAGTTCTATCAAAAGAAACTCATTCCACAAAGAAATAAAATATTGCAACAGTATAATAATGAAAAGATTTTGGTTCTGGAACACAGATGAGTAGGCTGTGCGATGGAATAGAATTGTGAGTCCCGAGAGTTATAGACATGTGTAGGAAATTATTTTTAATATTTTAATTTCAGAGCAGCAGGAGGAGGAAGTATTTTTTAAATAAACCATACTGCAACAACATAATCTTTTGGGTTAATAAAATGAATCTAGTTACCTTTCTGTTCCTGAATGGCCTCAGACTATATTCAAATCACTGAAATACAGTAAAATGAAATAATGGCAGAGATGTCAAAACTATTACTTCAGAGTAATTCAAGTTAAGAGCAACAGATGATCTCATGAATAACTGGCAAGAGAATTAGCTGAAAGGCAGGCACAACCAGGAGCCTGCCTAGTTTTCCTTTGTTAGTCACAACATATACAAGGCTTAAGCTGCATATTGGAGAATAATTGCACACCAAAGGAACTAACTTCCTAGAGAGAATTGTCAGTGGGAGAATATGGATCGAACAGTGAAAAATGATAAAATATGTCCAGGAGTTTTGTTTTGTTTTGTTTGCTTTTGAAAACTTCAAGCATCTTTACCTAGATACTTTTAAAAATGTGATCTAATATAGAGTAAACTTTCTGATCAAACTGAAAATATAAGTGCTCACTGTCCAAAAATTATCACTCGCATTTTATTATGGTTGAGATATGTCCATCTAGTCCTCATGAATTTCTATCATAATTTAGTATTGACATTCCATAATCTGTAAATTGTAAAATTTATTATTAGCAGCATTCTGCTATTCAGCTTTTCCAGGTCAACAAGCACATATCACTTTATGTCCAGAAAAAAAATAAAATATAAAAAGATAATTTTAGCAAAATCATGAAAAATGGATTTGAAGAAAGAGAATAAATGCAAGGTGCACAAGTGAAAAAAATTACCTATTATTAGAAATGACAAATGATAAGAAATCAAGAAATTATACAAGCAAAAATTATGATACATTAGAACAATGTTTTAAAGATACAAATGGTATCTATAATTCAAAGAAAGGTACATAATTTAAAATGCTTTTTCAATTTGATGATATTTCTAAAATCATCTGTAGGTTTAGATAAGTTTACTTATGTTTCAAGGATATTAAATTTTTATACAATTCCTCTTCTATTTAACAGTACTAGTAGGAATGCATTTAAAATATTAGTGTACTTTTTTATTTAGCTTATAATTGACGCATAGCTGTACATGTGTACGGGATACAGTGTGATGTCTAAATACATGTATACATTGCATGATGATTAAATCAAGGTAGTGAGCGTATCCATCACCTCTAACTTTACCATTTCTGTGTGATAATAACTTTCAACATCCTCTTTTTCTAGCTGTCTTGAAATATGTAGTAGATTGTTATTGGGTACAGTCACCCTACTATGTAGTAGAACTCCAGAGTTTATTCTTCCTATCTAACTGTAACTTTGTACCCTTTGACCAACCTCTCCCCATCCTTCCTTCCTTAACCTGGGGAAGCTACTATTTTACTCTCTACTTCTATAAAATGAATGTTTTTAGGTTCCACATCTAGGTGAGAGCATGCAGTATTTGTCTTTCTGTGTCTGGCTTATTTCACTGAATATTACGTCTCCAGGTTCGTCCACCTCACCATGAATGACAGCATTTCATTCTATTTTAAGGCTGATCAGTATTCCATTTTATATATATACCACATTTTATCCATCCATCAGTTGATGTACATGTATGTTGATTCTATCTTTCACTACTGATAGTAGTACTGCAATAAACATAGGAATGCAGATATCTCCTCTAAATACTGATTTCAATTCTTTTGAATGCATTCCAAGCATTGGCATTACTGGATAATGTAGTAGCTCTATTTTAAGTATTTTAAGAAACTTTCATACTGTTTTCCATAATGGCTATATTAATTTACATTCCTTCCAACAGTGTACAAGCATTCCCTGTTCTCCTTATCCTCACAGCATTTGCAATTTTCTGTCTTTTTGATAATGGCTATTCTAACTGAGGTAGGTTGATATCTCATTGTGTCTTTGATTTAAATTTCCCTGACGATTAGTGATGTTAAACATTTGGTCATATTCCTGCTTGTTATTTGTATCTGCACTTCTACATTTGTTGCATCACTGTTTACAATAGCTAAGATTCAAAAGCAACCTCAGTGTTCATCAATAAATGAGTGGATAAAGAAAATGTGGAACATATACACAATGGAGTGCTATTCAGCTATAAAAAAGAATGAGATCCAGTAGTTTACAGCAACATGGATGGAAAAAGAGATCATTATGTTAAGTGATATAAGCCAGGCAGAGAAAGAAAAATACCACAGCTTCTCACTTATTTGTGAAATCTAAATGTCAAAATAATTGAACTCATGGACACAGTAGAAGGATGGCTACCAAAGACTGAGAAGGTTATTGGAGGGGTGAGAGTGAGGGGGAGGTGAGATGGATGATGGGCACAAAAAAGTAGTTAAAAAGAATGATTAAGACCTGCTATTTGATAGCACAAGAGGTTAACTATAGTACATAATAATTGTATCTATCTATCTATATATTTGTTTGTTTGTTGTGATATGTCTTTGTCTAGTTTTAGTATCAGGGTAATACGGGTCCTGTAGAGTGAGTTTGGAAGTATTCTCTCCTCCTCTGTTTTACACAATAGTTTGAGTAGGATTGGTATTAGTTTTTATTTAAATGTTTGGAATTCAACAATGAATCCATCAGATCCTGGGCTCTACTGAGATACTTTTATTATAGCTCTAATCTCACTACTTGTTATTATTCTGCTCAGATTTTGGATTTGATTCTAGTTCAATTTTGGTAGATTGTATGTATCTAGAAATTTGTCCATTTCTTCTAGATTTTCCAATTTATTGGCATATAGTTGCTCATAGTAGCCGCAAATGATCCTTTGAATTTTTGTAATATCAGCTGTAATGTCTTTTTTCATTTCTGATTTTATTAATTGGGATCATCTCTCTTTTTTTTCTTGGTCTAGCTAAAGGCTTGCCAATTTCGTTTAGCTTTTCAAAAAGCCAACTTTGTTTCATTGATCTTCGTATCACTTTTTATTTCAATTTCATTTATTTCTGCTTTGATCTTTATTATTTCTATTCTTCTAATAATTCTGGGTTTGGCTTGCTCTTGCTTTTCTAGTTCTTTAAGATGCATAATTGACTTGCTAATTTGAAATTTTTCATTTTTCTGATACAAGCACTTACAGCTATAAACTTGCCTCTTAGTACTACTTTTGCTGTATCCCATAGGTTTTGGTATGTTGTATTTCCATTATTATATATTTCAAGAAATTGTTCAATTTCCTTCTTAATTTCTTCATTGACCCACTGGTCATTAAGAAGCATATTGTTTATTTTTGATGTATTCATATAATTTCCAAAATTCCTCTTGTTTTCAATTTCTAGTTTTATTCCATTGTGATCAGAGAAGTTGCTTGATATTATTTGAACTTCTTTGAATGTTTCAAGACTTGTTTTGTGACTTAATGTCTCATGTATCTTTGAGAATTATCTATGTGCTGAGGAAAACAATGTGTATTTGCAGTTCTTTGATGAAATGTTCTGTAAACATCTATTAGATTCATTTGATTTATAGTGTGAATTAAATGTGTGTATCTTTGTTGATTTTCTGTCTGGAAGATCTCTGCAATGCTGAAGGTGGGGTGTCGAAGTCTCCCATTATTATTGTATTGGGGCCTATCTCTCTCTCTCTTTAGCTCTAATACTATTTCCTTTATATATCTAGGTGCTCAAGTGTTGGGTGCATACATTTATAAAGTTGTTATATCCTCTTGTGGGATTGACCTCTTTATTTTTATATGGTGAACTTCTTTGCCTCTTCTTATAGTTTTTCTCTTAAAATCCATATTGTCTGATCCTATCTCTTTCTCTACCTCCTCATAAAGGCCAATAATGGTTAGATATGCCCTTTTGAGGCTATTTTCTAGATCCTATAGCATGTTTAATTTTTAAATTCTTTTTTTCTTTTGTCTTTTCTGACTGTATTTTCAAATAGCCTGTCTTCAAGCTTAATACTTCTTTCTTCTGCTTGATCCATTCTGATATTAAAGGATTCTGATGCAGTCTTCAGTACACCAATTGCATTTTTCAGCTTCAAAATTTCTGCTTAATTCTTTGTAATTATTTCAATCTCTTTGTTAAACTTGTCTCATTGAATTCTGAATTCCTTTTCTGGGTTATCTTGAATTTCTTTGAGTTTTCTTAGCACAGCTATTTTTAGTTCTCTGAAAGGTCACATATCTCTGTTTCTCCAGGACTGGTCCCTGGTGACTTACTTAATTCATTTGGTGAGGTCATATTTTTCTGAATGTTGTTGATGCTAGTAGGTATTCTTCAGTGTCTGGATCTTGAAGAGTTAGGTATTTATTGTGGTCTTCACTGTCTGGGCTTATTTGTAGTAGTCCTTGGTAGGAAGGCTTTCTAGATATTTGAGAGGACTTTGGTGTTGTGATCTAAACTGTTTCTGCTTTAGTGTGCACCCCAAGCCCAGTAATACTGTGGTTTTTGCAGACTCATAGAGGTACTGCCTTGATGGTCTTGGACAAGTTCTAGAAGAATTATTCAGATTACCGGGTAGAGACTCTTTTTCTCTTCCCTTACTTTCTCATAAACATACAGTCTCTGTCTCTGTCTCTCTCTCTCTGTGTGTGTGTGTGTGCACACACATGCATGTTCTGAGACACCTAAAGCTGGGAGTGGAGTTACACAAGCACCCTTGTGGCCACCACTATGACTGTGCTAGATCAGACCTGAACCCAGCACAGTGCTGGGTCTTGCCCAACGCCTGCTGTACCCACTCCCTGGATACTGCCTATGTTTGCTCAAGGCCTGTTGGGGTAGAGCAGGTGGGAAAGCCAGCCAGGCTCATGTCCTACTCCATTCAGTGTGGTGAGGTCCTGCAGACTCCAGTGGGTCCACAATTAGCATTTGGGAGTCAGGAACTAGAGTCAAAAACCTTAGATGTCTACCTGGTATTCTATTGTATTGTGGCCCAGCTGGTACTCAAACCACAAGATACTGTCCTTCCCACTCTTCCCTCCTCTTTCCAGAGGGAGAGGTGCCTCACTCCATAGCCAGCACCACCCTTGGCCACAAGGAGTACTGCCAGACTACCACCCATGTTCCGTTAAGGACCAAGGTCTTTTAAGTCAGCTTGTGGTGAATGCTGCCTTGCTTGGGACTCACCCTTCAGGACACTGGGCTTCCTTCTGGCCCAGCGCAGGTCCATAAATGCCATATAAGAATCCGAACTTCTTTAAGAGAGTTACTCTGAATTCTTTGTCATACATTTCAAAGATCTTCAATTTTTCTAAGACCATTACTGGTGCTTTGTTTCTTTTGATGTTATATTTTCCTGAGTTTTCACAATCTTTACATCTTTATGTTTATGCCTATGTATTTGGGGAAGCAGCTATCTCTTTCAGCTTTTTCACATGTTCTTTAGTGGTGTTAGACATGTACTACATAATATTGAATTGCTGCTCTGCTGTTGCTTCTCATTCTGGGGAGGAAGTAAAATGAGCACCAGAACTAAAGCCCTGCACTAGAACTAACTTGCTGCCCTGCTGTTGTATGCTTGGAACGGTTATCATCAGAACTTATATGCTGCACTGGAACTTAAATACAGACTTGCAGTGGTTTCTGGGTCTGGGGAAGACTTAAGCAAACACCATTGCCAACCTTTAACTTGTTTCCAGATCACGGAAATGTTCCACAAAAGCATCTGGGTTTTCTGAGAAATCCAATCAGGAATTTAGGCCTTCTCACAGATGGTGCCCCCTGCAGCATCTGTGGTGTCAGCCAATCACTTCACTGTGGCATCCTTACTGATCAGAATGCAGAGAAGCAGCCAAGATCCACATACCAATTTCTGTGATCAGTGCCCTCACCCCTTGTCTCCAATTCAACTCAAGTGGTTTTATCCCTCCTGGTACTTCCACGGGATGGGATCGGATCGGGTGCCCCACAAATATTCACAAACTGGTGGGGAGATTGAATGCCTAACCTCCAATTTCTTCCTCTCACCTGAGAAATTGTAGATCTAGAGAAATTCTCTGCAAGTGATCTTATGCTAGCTTGGGGGACAGGGACAGGATCAATGGTCTAAAATGACCATTCCTCTTACCAGTCATGGGTTTTCTCATTTCTGTGTGCACATGGGGTTTTCTGCTTGTCTTCAGAGTTCTGGTGTATTCAGGGTGATATTCTTGTCTTTGAATAGTTGCTAGTGTACTTTTGTGGGTGTAGTAATGCTGGAGAATCTTCTATTTTGCTATCTTGCTGACATTACTCCAGTGCACTTACTTTTGAGGAGTATATATTTGTATAATTTGTTATTAATTTTCTCTTTAATTTTCATGATTCTTTATTGCAGTTTGATTGGAGAAGATTAAATGCTAATGTTTGAGTCAATTCCAATCAGAACTCAGGCTACAGTCTGTGACTCTGTATTCTAACTTAAAGAGAAAAATAATCAGACAGCATGATAAGAAATGGAATTACAGAATGAGCAAATATAAATGCAAAGTACTAACTAATGTTTAAGTGTTAGTGTATCTGGGAGGCATTTCTTTAAAGAGATTATGTTAACATCCTATGAAAATGATGTCCAGTTAAAGTCTGTCTAATAATCTACATGTGTATAAACCACTTGAATAAAGTAGCTATCATAAATTTTGTGCATTTTCAGTGCAAAGACTACATACAAAATAATGAACTAATATGAATAATAAATTGCTAAAGGTGGATAAACTAATTTTGTGGAGTAGTTACAGAATAAAAGTGCATTAAAGAAAGTGAATTCTGAAAAAGTACTGCATTTTCCCCAAACTTTTATATTCTCTCAGCCATTTGTTTTTATTTCAGAGGAGAGTCTTGAAATATAAGCCATAGCTTTATTACTCTTCTTCTGTCTTTCTTTTTTCTGTTGTTCTTTTATTCTTTCCATGTATATCTCTTAAAATAAGTAATCAATGTTAATTTAGAAAAAAAGAAAATAAAATAAAGATAAAAGTAAACTAAACAAGCAAGCCAATATGTATGTCATCTACAATATGAATATACTTGCATTAACATTGTTAATATCTTGGGGCACATCTGTTCACACATAATTTACATACCTATTTATTGAAAACTAATAATGGGATTTTATGTTAAAAGTGCATATTTTTCAGTACATACTTGTGTAATTTAACAATATATTATTGACATATTTTTTATATCATTCACATTTTAAACAAGTACAACGAGCCCCTACTATATGTCAGGAATATCCTCAGCCCTCAAGATACAAAAGACATAAAAATCTATTTTTTTCAGTGCTTACAAAATAAATTTACAAATTATATGTTATGTTATATAATTTATAAATTATGTATTGAGCAGTTTTAAGTGTTATGGAAGTAGAATGAAATGGGGTATAGAACATCAGAGATGTGGGAAAATTCAAATCTCACATAGGATGGTCAGAGCAGACATTGACAAGAAAGTGACATTTAAGGTAAGCAAGTGAATTAGCCATACGAATATCGGGGAGAAAGCACAGTATGACCAGAAGGAGCAATCATCGCAAAGTCTTTAAGTTAGGTGTTAGCCCAGAGCATCCATCTGTCTTTCCTTCCTTTATTCTTCAATTTTCCATTTCTTAAAGAATGAGAGACAGAAATATGCTTATAATTTTTCTACTTGGAATATACAAAGAAAATATATGGATTTTTATTTTTGACTTGTAGGCCTTTTGTTCCACATATTTTCAGAGTATCTCTGAACGCTGAATTCTGATTTTTAAATTATGAGTTATGCTTCCTGTTCTTTTTTCCATCTTTTTGAAGGTATAATTGACAAAATTGTGTATATTTGAGGTGTATAACATGATATCTTGACTGTATATATATATATATGTATATATATGTTCTTTTAGTGTCTCTAGAAGACAAGTTCCATGACACTACAATAAGACTAAAATTTGCTATTCATTTAACATTCTAAATAAAAATGTAAATATCTCTCAGAAATAATTCCCTATTATGTTCTGATATTTATAGAATTTTGAAATTACATTAGAGAACTGAACTGGCACTTCAGATTTGCTTTACGCTCACAATAAATGCAGTGAATCATATAATCAGACTTAGGAACTTAGCCTTAATCAGGCCCAAAGCTGGACTCTTTCTATAACACACAGACTAAAGCTCCCAAAGGCAATATCTGAACGCTTTTATATTTTAAAAAATTAATTTCTTACAAAGAAGAGGAATTCATGTTACTGTTATTTTTAACTCTTTATAGAATAAATAAAGTCTATTTTTATTTTAAATTACAAAATTAAAACAAAATTTCTGGTGAAATATTTTCTGTATCTAAAATTTTTAATTCCTTCTACTTTCGAACCACTAAGATATTTATACTATCAAGTATATTTTTGAATTTATGACTAGGACAGCAGTCACTTTCCCAAAAGCACACAGTCTAAAATAAATATATTGAAATGAATGAAAGATGGGTGGTACATTTATCCCGTTTGCAATGGCAAAAGTTTATTATTATTATTACTTTTATTTTCCAATGTTTTGATTAATGTCATTAATCTCTCTTCAAGTGTTGAGATATATACCTCTTCTTGAAGCATCATCTTACCCTGAAGTCACACTATTTTGACCCTGAAGTCAAACATTTCTTTAGATGAACATCCATTGAAAACAAATTTTGCACAATCACATGTTCTGGGCATTTAAATTATTTTATCTAACAAAAATATCAACCAAAATACATACTTATAAATTTTAGAGACCTACTCTGGCTAGTAAAAATATATTGTCAATTTAAAGATATGAGAATGTGACCGGACATGGTAGCTCACATCTGTAATCCTAGAGCTTTGAGAGGCTGAGGCATGGGGTCACTTGAACTCAGTACTTGGAGACCAGCCTGGGCAACATGATGAAACCCCGTCTCTACAAAAATACAAAAATTAGCCCTGCATGGTGGCATGCACGTGTAGTCCCATGGACTTGGTGTGCTGAGGCCGGAGTATCACTTAAGCCCGGGAGGCAGAGGTTGCAGTGAACCGAGATTGCACCACTGCACTACAGCTCGGGTGACAGACTGAGGCCCTGTCAAAAAAAAAAAAAAAAAAAAAAAGAAAGAAAGAAAGAAAGAAAAAGTAGAATGCTCACAATATACCCAGGAATGCTCACCAAACCAAAACTGGATTTGAGTATTTGTAGCCAGGAAAAAAAATTTAGTTCACATCAGCTCCTTTGCAGCATGGATAGCATTGCTTCCTGTCATTGATACCACAACTGGTTATACAGATGAAGAGCTTGCAACCCCATTACCAGTCATGTCAAAAGCCAGATGTTCTACTTAGAACCTTTACCAGGATATAGAGTCTGCAAAGCTCTTTGCTCAGGTTTCTATTTACTCTAAGATTTCTGGGGGCTCATCTGATTGGAATAGTCAAGGCCACATTCTGGCTCCTACATTTTAGAGGTAAGATTGATAATATGATGAATTCTTTATACACATGAAGGTTATGTAAAAGATGTTTGCAGCCACAATGTGTAACTAATATTCATTACATCATTAAGTGAGCATTAATATCCCAATGTTATAAATAGAAGACTAAGGCCCATTTGATTGCCCTGGTTCTCCTTGTCACAAAAACTAATCCTTCTTGAATGATAGTTCTTATAATATGTCACAGTGCCCTATTTACAAACCTTTAACTTGTATTGAATTCAAAAACAATTCAGCGAATAAGCCACTTTGATAGTTCATAAGAGGTTATACTGATGACATACTGTATTAAAACTATCTATTAAAAATTACGGTTATGTAGTTAAACAAAGCTATTAGATAAAATAAAACCATTTAACGTAAAACCTAGCACATCCTTAATGACCAATACATGAAAATAATAACAAGCCCAATAAAAAATGTAATTAGGCAGCAAAATTTTCTAGAAAATAATTACCACTTGAACCTGAATATGAATACTTAAGTTCCTTCTTTTATTATTATGTTCATTTTTTTCTCATTATTCTATATACCTGCAGAGCTTGTTCACAGATTTAAAACAAATAGAACTGGGGAGTTGGAAGACCTCCTGGATAATTTATGGTCCCATACTTCTATTTAATAAATGATGGAATTTAGATCCATAAATATAAATTTGCTTTTAAGAGTCTAGTTATTCAGATATCTCATAATGCAGTCCAGTTTAACATCTTATGCCAGGATTGTCTTTCTATTACCAGGGTCTTTCTGCTACTACAATATCTGGGAAGTCCCAGTGTTCCAGATTGTTTTCTGGGTCACAAATCTGGCACGGCATGTGCTGCATTTTATTGTTAGACAATATTTATGTAAACCTAAGCAATCAACATTTATTACATATTTATAATTTGAAATATATATTTCTTTTCAATACCAAATATTTTTGCCATAAATGTGACATCAATAAATATTTGTCTATTGATTAGATTGTTATTATTTAATGCAAAATGTTTTATACTATTTTAATGTACGATATAAGTATAGAAATAAAATTACTAGCTAAAAATCACACCAGAAACTGTTCTAACCACTCTACATACGTTTTTACTCCTTTAGTTCTTACTCTAGGTACACTTCTTTTCTTTTTCTTGTCTTCTTTTTGGTACCTAATCTAGGTTATTTTTATTTTTAAAAATAACATTTTTAAAGAACATTTCAGCATTATTCATAATACTGAACATAAAGACACAATGTAAGTGTCCATTAATATAAAAATGGATAAAGAAAATGTGGTATATTTACACAATGGAATGCTACAGCTTTATAAAAGAAGAGAATGCTGTCATTTGTGACATGGGTGGAACTGGAGGACATTATACTGAGTGAAATAAGCCAAGCACAGAGAGACAAATACCGTATGATCTCACTTATATGTGGAATCTAAAAAGTCATTCTTTACATCCTCCTGTAAAGTCCTGCGTAATATCGTTATTCCATTTCAAAAACAAATAAATAAGACCAGAAACAGGGCAGTTAGCTGTCTTGCCAAGGACCACACAATAAATGCTAGAGCCAGGTTTCAGAATCAGTCAGCCTGGCTCCAGAGTCAATATTTTCTAATGACTCTTGCCTTCAAAGTCCAGTTAAGTTAAAATATGTAATTTCCCCCCTGCATATTTTATCATTTGATAAATACCTTTATTGTCAACAGAAGTGGAGTTCACCTAAACTCCTATAAAAACCAACGAAAGAAGAATGCCCTTTTTATTTTAAATTATAGGCAAGTATTGATACCTCAGGCTAAGGATAAAGTGTGCTCCAAACCACTCCTTCAGATTGCCAAACTCTTCTGTGTAAGTAAAGACTGGTCTCTGTAATTTACACCCAATTTGCCTATACTGTTCTCCCTGTGTAATTGACACCAAGTTATTATTATACATAATAAATAAACTCCACGGTTGGAAAAAAGATAGAGTAACAGGTGCTTCCCTTTATACACTTTATGAATATAAATTAGAGCACTATTTTAGTGTAAATGTTGACACCGATCTATATTAAAATGAGGACTACACCTTTAACCCCACTATTTTAATTTTAATATTTTCTTTCACTCGTATGAACACTTAGTAGATAAAAAATTGTGAATACTGCATTATTGCAAAAGTGATAAACTATAAGTAGCCTAAATGTCCATCCTCATATGACCCTTTAAATGCACATGAAAGACAAGGAATGGTATATTTCATGATTGTATGATTCTGACAGGCTCACAGAATTTCTTATGTCTTGGTCAGCAGACATAAGAAACCAATAATATAAAAGGTAGACAGGCATTGAAAGAAAAATGAAAAAATAGTGTGGCTTGCCCTACAGAGCACAGGAGCAATAGCTATTCTGAGTCCAAGGCAATATTACATTGTGGTGCTGTCTACTATCCATTTCAATCAAGTAGACAGTCTCTATGTGACAGATTTAAGTGTATATACAGCATGACAGAGAAATGGAGGAGAGTCAGCAGGAAATGTGAGGAAGTTGAATGAATATACGTATATATATAAATAATATATATGTATATTTAATCCCATAGAATTAAAATTTATAATATAATGATAGTTAATAATTTCATTATTATGGCAACATATAAATGAACCTATATTTCATATTTTTAAATAAAGATAATCCCTTTAGTTTAGTACGATATTAACTATTATAATATGTGAACATTTTGTGTTATGTAGTAACTATCAATATTTTTTTTCTCCTTTTTATTTAATCTTTGCAACAAATCATTAGGTAAATTCAATGGAAATTAAGTGAAAATGAATCATAAGGAAAATTTCACTTAGGACGCAATAGAGTTTCAATGAAGTGCTACAGTTTGGAAAATCATTTTAGTGAAAAAGAAAATAGACACATGTTTTCCATTGGCTAAAATAAATTATATTTAAATAAAGTCTCTTTAGAAATATAAGGTTTATACTGGTACAGTTAAATATATAAAAATAAATTAATGTGTACATTTCAATACCAATGAGATGTTCACTTTCATATATATGCATGTGAATATGTGTGTGTGTGTGTATATAGATATATACAATGATTTATGTAGCACACAACCTATTTCTTTTTTTTTTTTATTTCTCACCCCCCAATACCTCGCCCCATAATTTAAATTGTTTTAAGGACTAGAAGCAGCTTATATTTTGTAAGAAGGCCAATCATAATGGAATATTTTCATGTCTCTAATTGGACTGTTTAAATGTCTAGATTACATTTCTACAAATATGAAAAATGGGTACCACAGATAGGAGGAATTTGAGAGTATGGAGGAGAACCTATTTTTCATCAGAAGAGAGACTTGGCTCAGATTTATCATTTTTTATATTGTCAACATTTAAAATGTGGTGTAAGACCCCTTTTTTCAAGAGAGAAATCTGAGAAGTAGTCAGAAATCATGAATTCATGAAGTTTTTTTTTAACTAAATATTGATACCACTTGAAAGCAATGTGCTTTTCAGAGGACAAAAGTCTATACAAACTTTTGCAGATATCAGTACCAAATATTAGGGATTGACTCTTGTACCTCACACTCATCCTGGATCTGACTGTTACCATTTCATTTTATGCACAGCAATATCTCTGTGAATAATGCAGCTAGAAGATTACTTGATGCTATTTACTTTCTATTTCTGAACACTTTATATACTTTTGCATGGTTTAACTTGTCATATGAAACATGAATCTGGGAAAACGAGAAAATTTTAGGAACCAATAAATTTCAGAAACCAATAAATTTTTATAGTTTGGCTTTCAACTCTGCAGGGGAAAAAAACTTCATTTGCAAAATTTTCCTCTTTTAAGGAAAGAATCAGGCAAATTTGGATTTGTTATAGTTCTAATTGCTTTAAAAATATTTTTCTTGGTCTTTTTCTTTTAATTTTATTTTATTTGAAACAGACAAATAACTTTCATTTCTGATATTGTTATAAGGAAGTAGATAGGTAAGTGCAAAAAATGGATGGATAGATAGATAGTATGAGTGTTTAAAATAATTTTAGTTTCACAGAGGATGCTTAATTATTGATACCAATTAATAGGAAGATTTTTTTCTACTTTCAAACCCAAACATACAACACAGCATAGTCAATTTTACATTTTCTATAATTAAAGTCTCTTTCTGAGACTCCAAAGCATATTGTGTGTTTCTCCATCAGGTTATCGATCCTCTTCCATACTACATACCGCTCTACATAACAGATATTTGCATTTGTAACTCCGATCTCTCTCCATCGTGGGTTCTTGAGGACTGTGACCATATTTATTCTCCATAGTAACCTCAGAAATGATCACAGGAATTGGTCCATAATGGCCTTTTAAAATAGTGAGCTAAAAAGATTGTTAATTTAATACATTGCTTATTTAGTAATGTAAATAAACAATTATATACAATCGAAAGGCTATAAGGGCTGAGCATGGTGCTCACTCCTGTACTCCCAGCACTTTGGGAGGCCGAGGTGAGAGGATTCCTTGAGCCCAAAGTTTAAGGCTAGCCTGGGCAACATAGTGAGACCCCGTATCTATTAAAAAAATAGACTACACAAGACACACACACACACACACACACACACACAACAGCTGTTCAAAATCATCAGAACCAGAGGTAAGCCTAAACTTTTGACCCATTTTCTATGTGACTTTGAGAAAGTAACATTCTCTTTATTAATCTATGCAAATAGCTGATAGATTATATCTGTCTTTTTCTGTTAAAATATTTCATAATTCTTTACTTTTAAATAACTTGCTGAAAATCAACCAACAATTTACTTGAATAACACTAATTTAAAAGTTAGTATTTAAAAGAAGATATATCCATTAATAACAAGTAGAAAATCTCAGTCACTTCTAAGAATTGAGTTATAACTTGCTTTTGAATTTTGTCTCTTCTCTGCAAATTAACTCCTCTGGAATAAGCAGAGAATTTTTACTCCAGCCTGGCAAAAGGCATGATTTATTATGTGTGGTGGTTCAGTCTGCTTCACAGGTATCCTCTGGTTAATGTCGCCAATCTGCATCCACTTAGTGACCTGCTATTAGCTTAATGACACTGTTATTAATCACTGAGAATCAAAGAATGATATAAAGAAAGCAAAGCAAAAAAAAAAAAGACTAGGTCTCTGAAAAGGAACGTTATTATCTAAGTCTAATTACAATAACCCTATTAAAAACTGAGGATTCAAGAATGGCTTAGCAAAACGATGAAATCAAGAAAAATGGGATATTCTGTGCTTGAACAAGCTTGTGTTAGAATTCTAACTGATGGTGTTTTCTTTGACTCATTTTTAGGCTAGACTGCATGCTTGTTATATTCTCTCACTATGTCTTTTGAGTGTGGCATTTTAGGAGCACTTAGGGACTAGCTTTCTTAAAATTATTGATTTGGTAATTTCTCCTATATAGAACTTAGATCTATTAAACTACAGTTGCAACTAACTATAAGTAACCTAAGCTACCTTAAGAGTTCAAAAGCAGAATTTGGAATGAGGATATATAGTTGTTTCACAAAATCTTGCAGCTGAAATATAGTGATGATTCTTTTGGCAATGGACAGGATCCAGAAAATAATAGACCCTTACAATGAACTAAGTCTCTGTTGTTGATTACTTTCTTCTTTGCAGTCTATTAATATTTCTAATCCAAGCATTCTCTATTCCTTGCTCATTGCCAAGCACATTTTCACAGAGTAACCTGAATTTACAGGTTACATATTTAATCATCAGCAAGAACTGGCTTAGAGTCTCCCATGGCTTATTACAGCATCTTATGGGGAGGTCCAATAGATTGATAAGGATGTTTTAAACACTAGTCAAATTAATGTGGACCATGGGACTGGGCATAATGTTGACTGTGAGGGTGCAGTGCTGTGGATGATGCTCTTCCACAGTAAATAAATAAATATAATATAGTGTTTCAAAGGTGGAAAAGATACCTAACCATGTCTACTGTAGAACTTTTATAATGTTGTCTTTATTTCTAGTCTTTCCCCATTTTATTGACTACTCTTTGAAGAGGAGAACTAGCATTCAAAATACATTTCAGATTTTAAAAGATTATAAAAACTATTTAGTCCAAACTCCTTTCCCATCTCATGCAAAGCTTAGAGAGGACCAATCTCCTTGTGCAAAGATTTAAAAATATTTGCATAAAGACCTGCTTATATTTAATATACTTTAAAAAGATATTCAAGCTTTTAGTGAATTATATGTTATTCAATAACATATAGAATATTATATATATAGCATTTACAATTAAGGAATATACAAACTTCAAATATATAGAGAAAATTTTACTACATCTTATTCAAATGTTCATTGATCCATTAAACAATAAATTATCGATTTACTTATATATTGATTGATTCAAATCTTTGCTAACATGCTATTTTTCCCAGACCTCTGGTTTCCCCTCAAGTAGTCGTATTTTAAAATGTGAAGAATTTTTACCTCAGTCTGGCATGGACTACAAAGCAATGAGTATCTGAAAAGGTCTTAGGAAACCTTGTATTCTGTTATCCGCATTCCTATTAAGTGCACTAACAATAGCTGAAACAAAGTATGGCTTGTATAAACAAGCAAAATGCATAGTTGTTCAGTTACAAGAAATACTAAATTTCAGTTCTTGGGTAAAAATTGTCCGCTTTCATCATGCTGAAATTACTTCAAAATTAAAAGTTAAAAAGCATAATAATATTATGGTTGAGTATAAAACTACCCCCTGATGCCAATCCCCATCATAACATATTATATAAAGTGATTTAATTTTTTTGAGACCCAAGTCTCACCCTGTTGCTGAGGCCAGAGTGCCGTGGCATGATCACAGCTGACTGCAACCTCAACCTCCTGGGTTCCAGCAATCCTCCCACCTCAGCTTCCCAAGTAGGTGAGACTACAGGCTTACGCCACCATGCCTCACGAATTTTGGTATTTTCTGTAGAGACGGGGTTTTGCCATGTTGCCCAGGCTGGTCTCAAACTCATGGGCTCAAGAAATCCTCCCACCTCAACTTCCTAAAGTGCTGAGATTAGAGATTTGAGCTACTGGACAAGACTAATTTGAATTTTTAATACATTTTGTTAAAAATCACAATTGAGGTAGGACCTAGAAATTTATGCCATTCGGCTTTGAAAAAAAAAATGATTCATATACCATGTCTATAAGCACATTTGTTTTTATTCGGATAACTTGTAAAATATTTAGAATCATGATATTGAAATATGTAACATACCCTTTCATATAACGCAATATTTTTACCAATTTTTAAAATCACTAAATATTCACTTACTATAATTCATGTAGCTATATATTATTCCATAATATAGAAAAAGAATGTATTATACAGATTCCCATTTATTGTATGTTATGTGGTATCTACAAATAAACATTTAAAAATAATGATGCAGTTACCATGCTCGTGTGTAAATGTACACTCGAATCTTTTATTTTGTATTTAATAGAGTACTCAGGTCAGATGTAGCATTCGTTTAGTTCCTAGAAAATATCAGAGCATATCATAATTTTCATCAATAGAATGGAAACTCAGTACATGCTTTCTAAGGATATTAATAGCTGTATAGTATATCTAATTATAGTATATAATACATAGTATAATTATAGTATATAATATATACTATATAGAAGAATGTAATTATACTATATAATATGTAGTATACAGATGAATGTAAAATCTATAAAATTTATAAATATATTTAAAATTGATAATGTAGAAAATATAAGTAAAATTGAAAAACTTATTGGTAAAATTACTCACCTTTGCAAATGGAATAAAATAAATGTTTTTAAATATTAAAAATAGGCAGTATGGTAAAACCTATCACAACTGAGATAAAAAGAGGCTATGTTATAAAGCAACAAATTGAATACATATGTTTACTTAAAATTAGAATATCTATTTCCACTAGATATTAAAATGGTAGCAGAAAGTAGAAATAAGGCTAGATAATGATGCCAAATAAATGCAAATAAGAAAGTAAGTTCCTTGATATTACATATTTTTACCTATTCTATTAATTCATTAAAAACTTCAGATGATACAAGACCACATTATTATTTTTTCTGGTTTCATGTACTTTTTTGTTTCCTCTGATTTATTTTATTTTATTTCTTGAGACGGAATGTTGCTCTGTTACCCAGGCTGGAGTGCATTGGTGCGATCTCAGCTCACTGCAACCTCCGCTTCCCAGGTTCAAGTGATTCTTCTGCCTCAGCTTCCAGAGCAGCTGGGACCACAGGTGTATGCCACCATGAATGGCTATTTTTTTGTGTATGTATGTGTTTTTAATGGAGATGGTGTTTCACCATGTTGGCCAGGCTGGTCTTGAACTCTTGACTTCAGGTGATCTGCCCACCTCACCCCTCAAAGTGCTGGGATTACAGGCGTGAGCCCCTGTGCCCTGCCTGTTCTATTTATTTTTAATGGGAATAATTTTTCAGGACTTTGCTCAAATGATACCTGTAGTAACAACCTTTGTTGGAAACATTGATTCAGAATTAATTTCTACTACTTCTTCCCTTCTCATATATATTTCTATACCTCCATGATGTTATATCTATTTTCTCTCTTTTTTGTTGTTTATTCATTCATTTTTGCTTGTTTATTCTTCAATTATATTTGGTTGGTTTATATGTATAGATAATACAGTTATCTGGTAAAAGTTCATACAGTTTAAGTTTATATGCAGTGGAAGCTAACTGTCTTATCAATGTCTGCCACCAGTTCACAGAGGTAGCCACTGTTATCTGCTCCTTGTATTTCCTTATGTATTTATATGCCTATATAAGCATATAGATCTCTTGATAGATACATGAATTTACATTTCAATGTTTTTTACCAATTTTTATTTAAAATATAAAAGCTGCAGATAGCATACAGAACAAAGGAAAATGATCTAACAAAGCATTTTGAGTTAAAAACTTTTTACATTTTTAAATATTTCAGGCTTCATTTTTAAAGATTTATACATTCAGCCATTACCTTTTTTTAAAGAAGCTTACCACATTATTTTATTCTTCTCCACTTCATTTGTTCTGCACAAGTCACACAATTCATATTGTCAGACTTTTTATGTATATCACTACAATCTATTTTATCAGATTTCTGTATACATATGCGTATAAAACATGTAGATGTTTTCTGTTTATATTTGTGTTAAAATAATATGCTATTGATAATTTCTTGTCTAAAAAACATATTTTACTGTACATCAATGGTTCACGTAAACAAAGAAGTGTATGTAATTAATTCATTTAACAGTTACATAGCATTAAATACAGTATGCTATTCATTTACATAGCTTCATTTTCATCATTAATGGCAATGCTGCAATTAACATTGTTTTACATAACTCCTTGTGAAGAGGCTTTTTAAAATGTTTGATTGCATATATCTTGAAGTGGAAATAAGGACTCAATTGTATTATCAATTTGGCTAGTTACTGTCATACTCCTCTCCAACATGACTTATTAGGCTTAAAGTGTTCATCATTACTTAAAAGACTTAAAATTATTTCTCCCTCAGAGAAATGAAGTTAGTGTTTCTGTATATTTTTTTCTCATTAAGGTATGAACATATATTTTACTGTTTAAATGTGTCATTTTCTGTTTATTTGTGATATTGGTGTTCTTTACATGCTTTTATTGGTTATTCTAACTCCTCTTTTGGGAATTCTTTGCTCATTGTACTACTGTATTGTTTATCCTTTTAAAATTGGTACAAGTTGTTTATACATTTTTAAACTATACTTTGTAGATTCCTTTGGGCAGTATGGCCTTTTTAATGGTGTTGGTTCTTACAATCCATGCACATCAAATGTTTTCCATTTGTTTGTATGATCTATGATTTCTTTCAGCAATGTTGTATATTTCTCCTTATAAAAATATTTTATCTCCTTGGTTAGATATAATCCTAAGTATTTTGTTTTCCTTGTGCCTACTGTAAATGGAGTAGCGTTCTTGATTTTGTTCTCAGCTTGGACATTATTGGTGTATAGAAATGTTACTGATTTTTCTACATTGATTTTTATCCTGAAACTTCACTGAAGTGATTTATCAGCTCAAGAAGCCTTTTGGTGCAGTTTTTAGGGTTTTCTAGCCATAGAATCATATAATCACTGAAGAGAGATAGTTTGACTTCTTCTTTGCCTATTTAGATGACTTTTATTTTTCTTTCTTGCCAGTTTGCTCTGGCTAGGACCTGAATTCAGTATTACGCTGAATAGAAGAGGTGAGAGTGAGCATCCTTATCGTGTTCCATTTCTTTAGGGGAATGCTGCTAGCTTTTCTCCTTCAGTATGATGTTGGCTGTCATAGATGACTCATTATTTTGAGATATGTTTCTTCAGTCCCTAGTTTGTTGAGAGATTTTGTTATGATGGAATGTTGGATTTTAATGAAAGCTTTTTCTGTGACTATTGAAATTTTCATATGGTTTCTGTTTTAAATTCTGTTTATGCACGAATCACATTTATTGATTTGCATATTTTGAACCAACCCTGCATCCCAGGAATAAAGCCTACTTGATTGTGGTAAATTAACTTACTGATGTACTGCTGAATTAGGTTTGCTAATATTTTGTTGAGGATTTTTGCATCTGTGTTAATGAGGGATATTAGCCTGCAGCTTTCTTTCTTTGGTGCTTAGTTGCCAGGTTTTGGTGTCAGAGTGATACTGGCTTTGAAGAGTAAGTTGGGGAAGACCTCCTCTTCCCAAGTTTTTGGAGTAGTTTCAATAGGACTGGTACCAACTCTTTTTTGTACATCTGGTAGAATTCAACTGTGAATCCATCTGGTTCAGAGCTCTTTATATTTGGTAGATTTTTAATTGTTTATTCAATTTTGGAACTTGATATTGGTCTATTCAGTTTTGATTACTTCCTGATTCAGTCTTGGGAGATTGTGCATTTCCAAGGAATTTATCCATTTACTCTAGATTTTAGAATTGGTGCACAGAGAGGAAAAGGGTATCTGAGGATCATTTGTATGTCTGTAGGATTGTTTTTATGCTGCATTTCTCACTGTGCTTATTTGGATATTTTCTCTTTTTTTCTTTGTTAGTCTTCCTACTGAGGTCTATAGCTGTTGTTTAGTCTTTCAAAAAACAGATTTTGGTTTCATGTATACTTTGTATGGATTTTGGGGTCTCAATTTTGTTCAGTTCTGCTCTGATTTCTCTGATTTTATTGTTTCTTTTCTTCTACTAGCTTGAACTGGACCCCTACCTTTTACCAGAGAAAAAAAGTCAATTTGAGATGAAACAAAGACTTTAATATAAGACCTAAAACTATAAAATGTCATATAAGAAAACCTAGAGAATACCCTTCTTGACGTCAGCTTTGGCAAATAATTCATAACTAAGTCCTCAAAAGCAATTTCAACCAAAAGAAAAATGGATAAGTTGGACCTGATTAAATTAAAGGGTTTCTGCACAATAAAAGAAACTATCAACAGGGTAAACAGACAGAGAGAAAATATTTGCAAACTATGCATCCAACAGAGATCTAATATCCACTATCTCTAAGAAACTTGAACAAATCAACAAGCAAAAGATGAACAGCCCTGTTAAGAAGTGGGCAAAAAACATGAACAGGCTCTTCTCAGAAGACATACATGTCGCCAACAAACATATGAAAAACTACTCAAAATCACAAGTCAGGAAAGAAATGCGAATGAAAGCCATAATGAAGTACCATCACACACCAGTCAGAATGGCTACTATTAAAAAGTAAAAAAATAACAGATGTTGACAGGGTTGTGGAGAAAAGGGAATGCGTGTTCATTATTGGTGGGAATGTAAACTATTTCAGTGCCTGTGGAACGAAACTTGGAGATATCTCAAAGAACTTACAAAAGAACGACGATTCGACCCAGCAATTCCATTACTGGCTTTATATCCAAAGGAAAATAAATTATTCTACCAAAAAGACACATACATTCATATGTTCATCAAAACACTATTCACATTAATGAGGACATGGAATCAATGTAGATGTCCATCAGCTATGGACTGGATAAAGAAAATGTGGTACAAACATAACATGGAATACTATGCAGCCATAAAATGAAAGAAATTATGTACTTTGCATCAATATGGATCCAGCTGGAGACCATTATCTTAAGTGAATTAATGTGGGCACAGAAAGCCCAATACTGCATGCTCTCACTTATAAGTGGGAACTAAACATTGGTTATGCATGGACATAAAGATGGGCACAATAGACACTGGGATCTACCATGTGGGGGAGGGCAGGATGGAGAAAGGGCCTGAAGAACTGCCTATTGGATATTGTGTTCTCTACATTGGTGTTGGGATTATTTGTACCCCATACATGAGTGTCACACAATATACTCATGCAACAAACTCACACATGTACCCTCTGGACCTAAAATAAAAGTTGAAATGAAAAAGAGTTGGTAAATCAGTAGGTGGGAATCAGATACATAGGATGGCTATAATCAAAAAGTCAGGCCAGGCATGGTGGCTCACACCTGTAATCCCAGCACTTTGGGAGGCCAAGATGTGAGGATTGCTTGAGCCCAGGAGTTTGAGACCAGCCTAGGCAATATGGCAAAAGCCCGTCTCTAAATAAATACAAAGGAAAATAAATAGCCAGGAGTGATGGCGAGTGCCTGTATTCCTAGCACCTAAGAAGGCTGAGGTGGGAGGATTGTTTGAGCCTAGGAAGTGGCGGTTGCAGTGAGCTAAGTTTGCACCACTGCACTCCAGGCTAGGCAACACATCAAGACTTTGTCTCAAAAAACAAGCAAACAACAACAAAGGTCAGATAATAGCAAGTGTTAACAAGGATGTGGAAGAATTGGAATGCTGATACACTACTGACAGGAATGTAAAATGGTACAGCCACCTTAGGAAACTGTCAGTCCCTCAAAAATTTCTACCTGGTGTTAGAATATGAGCCATCAATTCCATTCCTAGGTATACTATTAAGAGAAATGACAACACATACCTACCAAAAACTTTTACAGAAATGTTATTGGTAACATTATTCATAATAGCCTGTAATCAGAAACAACCCAAATATTTAGATAAATAAACAGATCAATGAAATGTAGTATATCCATATAATGGAATACTATTGAGCAATGAAAAAGAAGTGAAGTACTAATATATGCTACAGTATGTTAAAGTACGTCATGGATAGAACCTTAAAAACAGTAGGCTAAGGGTAAGAGGCCAGTCACAAAGACCACATATTGAATTCTTCTATTTATTTGAAGTGTCCAGGATAGACAAGTCTGTAGAGACAGATGATCTATTAGTAATTGCCTCGGAATGGAAGATTAGGCAGAAATGAGGAGTTATTAATAATAGGTATAAGGGTTTTTTTTTTGTAAGATTAAATGTTCCAAAATTGAATTCTGAATATACTAAAAACCAATGAATTATATATTTTAAACTGGTAAATTGTACTAGATATATAAGCTGGATTTTTTTAAGTAAATGAAAGAATCTGGGAATTCAGTGAAGTGTATTGGTGTTAAACTTTTTCAGTAAGATGTTTTTCACAGGAGACATCTATGGGGCAAAACAGCTTACGTAAAGTAAATCCTGGAAGGTAAAGATTAACATGGTAGGTTGCAGCAGTTTATGGATGACTGAATATCAGGGCAAGTAGTTACAAAGTAATTGTGCTGGGAACAAAGAGCTATCAAAGGCATTTCACCTGGAGAATGACAAAATCAGAGCTGTATACCTGAAATAGTAAGTAGTAGGAAGGCATGTAAAGAATTAGATGAAGGAGGCTCTAAGAAATGGTGTTCTGGTCAAATATCAAATAAATGTGACAGGAAAGAGTAAGTGATACTAATGGACTATTAAGTTGTTTGATATAAAATGAGATCATTTAAACAAAATGCTAGGAGGAGAAGCATATTGGGGTAAATAGATTATAAATTTGGTTTTAATTCTACTGGATTAAGTTGTTGGTGGAATATCGAGATTAACCTACAAAGCAAATTAATTTGAAATGTGGCCTAGAAAGTTAAGTGATCTGGCATTTTTAAGATTACATCCTGTTCCAGAGGGTGCTAATTAACTTACGTCACAGTTTTGGTATTCTGGACTTTGCAATTGCGTATTTTCTTTATGCTATTGTATTGACCTTTAATACTGTAAGGAGATCATGATATAATGATGATCATGAGAAAAGCTAAATCAGGCCAGCATTAGTTTATATTTTATTTTTGTGGGATTATAAGAAAGGCATTTTTTTTTAGCTTGTACAGCCTTGTGCCTGGGTATGGGCTTGGCAAACAACTTGGGCTGAATTTCAGCACTGGCTCTCTTCCTCAGTTGGGCAGCCTTGAGCAGCATCTGTATGACAATACACAGTGATCAAAATAATCCACAGTGATCAAAATAATCAACAGTGTTTCCAAGTTATATTTTTAATGTTGAGTGAAACTACTGTGAACACATAGGACCATATTTGAATTTGACCCATGAAATTAAAAAAAGCTCTAATATAAGTACCATTGGTAGTATGGGTAAAATAACTACATTAGAATTCCATAGTAGAATGTACTATACTTTAAATCACTAGAAGCTCCTTATGAGTGATCTTGGCTTTTTTCACATGGTTACATTTCACATTACCACCTTGAATATCCTATCTCATGCATCACTAACTCATAGATAAACAGGGCTGGACTCCTGGCATTTATTGTACTTTGATTTTAACACTGGTTTAATTGCACATGACTAATGCAAACCACCTTCTCTTTCAAAAACCTATTTTCAATGCAGTGTTTCCTCCTTCTAGCCTTAGAGTTTTCATGTATGTCATCAATCTTAGGATAACTGTAATTTTTGTATGAGAATTTAAAAAAAAATAAGCTGTGTTCAGCCTATACAAGTTAGAGAAAAACCAGGCTAATCTTACTAATATTTATTGATTAGTGAACTTTCAGACTTCAAAATTCAGGCAAATTCCACATAACTGATTATACACTGTGAAATTTGTAGTTTAACAATATATATTACATCAGAAAATGTGTTTTCCTACAACTCAAAAGCACTCAGACTGTAATATTATTTATTTAACATTTTATTCAGTGATTTTTTTTGCAGTATCATAATTGAAGTGTCTTTTAATGGCATTTTTACATAGTTAAATACATGTGTCTATTTTATTTTTTAAAAATCATCTTAATTAACAAAAAACAGAGACGTGTGGCTTGAAAAGCTAAAATACTTATTATCTGTCCTCCTTTTTATTTTAGCATAGGTTTGTCTTATAACCTTTAGTGTGAATGATATCAAAATATCCCTATGATTTATGGATACATCAGTAATCATTTCACATTTTCCCATTTTACTCTTTAAGATGTGATTACTTCTGTAATTAGACAAACTGATTCTAAATATGCACATGGGAGGACAATGGTGTAAGATCACAAGATGGGGTAGATGAAGTTACAGGAAACAGGTTTCCAAGCACAAAATTGGTATGTATGTATAAGGAATTTATACATATTACCAATAAATAACTAAGACTTCAATACCTGAAGAATACTGCAAGTGTTCAATTTCCAAAAGAAAAACAAATTGCCATTAAAAATAAAATATTATACAAATTATAATATTTTATAAATATAAAATAAATAAAAATTTTGTATCACTGGTAATCAAGAAAATGCTAATTGAACCAACAATGTGATAGTGTTAGATGAATTTCATTAGGGATAGTCAAAAAGTTTAACTGTATCAATTATCATCAGAATATGAATGTATTGGTTCATTTTCATGATACTATGAAGAAATACTCAAGGCTGGCTAATTTATAAAGAAAAGAGATTTCATTGACTCACAGTTCTGCATGGCTTGGGAGGCCTCAGGAAACTTACAGTCATGGGAAGCACACACATCCTTCACATGGTGGCAGGAGAGAGAAGTGCAGAGCAAAGTGGTGAAAAGTCCCTTACAAAATCATCAGATCTAATGAGAACTCACTCAAAATTATGAGCACAGCATGGGGTAACTGCACACATAATCTAATCACCTCTCACAAGGTTCCTCCCACAACATGTGGGGATTAGAATTTGGATTACAATTCAAGATGAAATTTGGGTGGAGATGCAGAACCAGACCATATCATTACACCCCTAGCCCCTCGCCCCTCCCAAATCTCATCTTTTTCACATTTTAAAATGCAATTATGCCTGACCAACAGTTCCCCAAAGTCTTAACTCATTTCAGCATTAACCCTAAAGTCCAATTCCATAGTCTCATCTGAGACAAGGCAAGTCCCTTCCACCTATAAGCCTACAAAATTGAAAGCAAGTTAGTTACTTTCTAGATACAGTGGGGGTACAGACTTTGGATAAATGCACCCATCCCAAATGGGAAAATTGCTACAGGCCCCATGTAAGCCTGAAATCCAATAGGGCAGTCATTAAACCTTAAATTTCCAAGATGATCTCCTTTGATTCCATGTCTCACATCCATGTCATGCTGATGCAAGAGGTGGCTTACCATGGCTTTGTGCACCTCCACTTCTATGGCTTTACAGGGTACAGCCCCACTCCTGGCTACTTTCATGGGCTGGTGTTGAGTGTCTGACTTTTCTGCTGCCGAGTGCAAGCAATTGGTGGAGCTACCATTCTAGGACCTGGAACATGGTGGCCCTCTTCTCATAGATCCACTAGACAGTGCCTCAGTGGAGACTTTGTGTTGGGGCTCCAACCCCCATATCCCTTCCACACTGCCCTAGCAGAGGTTCTCCACAAGGGCTCCACCCCTGCAGCAAACTTCTGCCTGGATATCCAGGCATTTCCATACATCCTCTAAAATCTAGGCAGAGGTTAATAAAGCTCAGTTGTTTACTTCCGTGCACTTGAAGGCCCAACAGCACATGTAAGCCACCAAGGTTTGGAGCTTCTGCCCTCTGAAGCAACAGCATTAGCTGTATGTTGGCCCCTTTCAGCCATGGCTGGTATGGCTGGAATGTAGGGAACCATACCATGAGGCTGAACAGAGCAGGGGGGCCCTGGACCCAGCCCAGGAAACCATTTTTCCCTTCTAAGCCTCTGAGCCTGTGATAGAAGGGGCTGCCCTGAAGGTCTGTGACACGTCCTGGAGACATTTTCCCCATTGTCTTGATGATTAACATTCAGCTCTTCATTATTTATGCAATCTTCTGCAGCCAGCTTGAATTTCTCCTCAGAAAATGAGTTTTTCTTTTTCTATCACATTAACAGAGGCTGCAAATTTTTCAAACATTTATGCTCTGCTTCTTCTCGAACACTTTGCTCTTTAGGAATTTTCTCTGCCAGATATACTAAATCATCTCTCTCAAGTTCAAAATTCCACAAATTTCTAGGGCAGGCGCAAAATGCCTCCAGTCTCTTTGCTAAAGCATAGCAAGAGTGACCTTTGCTCCAGTTCCCAACGAGTTCCTCATCTCCAACTGAGACCACTTCAGCCTGGACTTCATTGTCCATATCACTATCAGCATTTGGTCAAAGCCATTCAACAAATCTCTAGGAAGTTCCAAATTTTTCCACGTTTTCCTGTCTTTTTTTTTGAGCCATCCAAACTGTTCCATCTCTGCCTGTTACCTAGTTCCAAAGTTGCCTTCTACATTTTTTAGTACCTTTATAGCAGTGCCCCACCCCTGGTACCAATTTACCATATTAGTTCATTTTCATGCTGCTATGAAACAATACCTGAGACTGGGTAATTTATAAAATAAAGAGGTTTAAGTGACTCACAGTTCCACATGTCTGGGGAGGCCTCAGGAAACTCAAAACCATGGCAGAAGAGAAAGCAAACACATCCTTCTTCACATGGTGGCAGAGGGAAAAGTCCCTTATAAAATCATCAGATCTCATGAGAACTCACTCACTTTCAGGAGCACAGCATGGGGAAACTGCCTCCGTAATCTTATTGCCTCCCACGAGGTCCCTCCCCCAACACATGGGCTTTACAATTTGAATTACAATTCAAGATGAGATTTGGGTGGGGACACAGAGCCAGACCATGTCAATGAATAAACAGGAAATTAACGATAGGTCATGGCTAATGTTATTATAACCACTTTAAATAGAATTCGAAGACCCTGCACTTCTGTTTCTAATTGTATTTTTGTCTAGAAAAATTTCCTACACATGTATACCAGAGATATGTATTAGGATGCTCCCATAGGTATGGTTTCTATCAGAAAAAAAGTGGAAACAACACAAATGTCTAATAAGTGAAAACATGAATTAAAATATTGCTTTATATATATTCAAAATGCAACGTGGAAAGTAAAATGAATGATGTTTATCTAAATTTGAAAGCTTATACATGGATAGATCTCTAAAACGAAGTGTTGAATGAACAAAGCAAGTTTCACATCACTCTCAAGACCTATTAGGTATTGAGAGTATATTCCTTGAGGAGAAGATGATGTTATTGTCTAGATCATAATTTCCACATTGTCTACCTTCTCCTCCAGATCTAATGTAATTCTGTACATTTATGACCTAGTGTCTAGTTTTGGAAAAAAGATCAAATTATGAAGAAGCTCCTTACTCTTCTAGGAAAAACAAATAGAAAACATAATTTTGCTAACATTGTCTAACTTGTAGTCACTTCTTTAAGGGCAAAATATTTTATCCATAATTAAAAGGGATAGATGAAAAGTACTTGGCAAATACTTATACAAAAATAAATAAACCAAAAATGTGACGGTGTTATGTAAAATCATGATGTCTTTTAAAATGTTCATCTGTGAATCTCTAATAAGGTTTTATTATCAGTTAGTGATAATACCATGAAGAACACAAAATTATGTTAGTCTATTTACAGACAAAAAATTTTGGTTTTCTTGCTGAGGGCAACTACTCCCAAGATCCCATACTCTTAACCATCATCAGAAATTCATTATGGCTTTCCTAGTACAAGTATTATCCATAATTTTAAGTATCAAGAGAATAACCTGAACTCTAATTAAGAGAACATAAAAGACAGCTTTTTATTGTGTGAGTAAGCTGGACTCATTGCTATTTAAAACTCACTGGCAGTATGTAAGCAGTTTCAACATATAAAAGGGCTGTGTATCACAATTTCATTTATAAGACATTTGTGAGCTTGAAAACTCTTTCTCAATAGAAATAATATAAGAAGCTTTAGTTTGCAAATATTTTACAAAGAGTGATTTAACCAAGAGAATTACTGAAATTAAATGATACCCTCTAAATTATATTTTTCTTTAGAAATTGCTTTTTTTCACTCTAAGAAGCCTTTCCCTCCATTTCTGCTGTACATCCCTATTCCACAATAAAAATAACAATTTTCAAATATAAGTTTAAAGACATCAAAATATGCTTCATAGTGCTTTATGAGTTTACATGTTCATCTGATCTTTCTCCTCACCCTTCAGGAGCTACCTACTGTATGCATGGGCTCATCTACTATTAGGAATATGCCTTAGCCCAGGTAAGGTGCATATGACAGTTGTCCTCTATCATTTCTCTTCCCAGCATCATGCTAAGCATTTGTGTCAGCACACTTAAGATAGGAAATTCAAAATAGTATCAAAGTTGTTGGCATAATTAAGGAACTGTCTGTTTTATAGTATATAAATATCTTACAATGTTTGGAAAGGCACTGTGATTACTCCGTGTTTCAGTTGGTCAACTTTTAGAACTGTGTCATTGAAAGACTAATTCACTGCACTGATAGACTCTGTTATATACACTTGAGACAACGTTATCATATGATCTAGTAAAACTGTGTTCTAAATCATTTACTTCTTACACATAGCTAGCTCTATTTAATTTACCCTAGATTCAAGTACACGTTCAACTTAATATTCAGTCTGAAATAATAACAATAATAGTGGTATTTTTAGTTTTAATATTACCCCCATATTGTAAATGTAATGTCTCATTTAATACTCATAACAATGTAGTGAAATATGTTCTATAATTAACTCAGTTTATGAATAAGAAACTAAGATATAGAAATATTGAGTAATCAAGGTCATATACTAGCTCTGTGACAAGACTGGAATTTGGACCAAGTCTGGAAGACTCCAGAATATGACTTATTTTCCACTAAGCTATAATACTTTCTATTGCCAAATGTGATACTGACCAAAAAATGAGGTTAAAAAGAACAAGTAAATTTCCTCCCCAAAACACATTTAGTCCAAAATAACTTCTGTTCAAATTTTCAATAATACAGAAAAGACTACTGCTTAATTTCACCTAGGTATTTATATTCATTGAGAAATCCACTTTCACACTATTAGTTATTTAAATAAAACATATTTCTAAAAGTCTCATTTAATATTTTCTGGAGAAAACCTTTCTTGAATAGAAAAGTAATATAATCATCTAATATTATTTTATTATGTAAATAGCTTTGCCTTTGTTCATTGATATCCCCAGTGCCTAGACAGTGTCTGGTACATAACAGTCACAAATAAATATTTGATGAATGAATAAATGAATGATTTAATTATTCATGTCAGTAGGAACTCTGGCTATTCCTAGTAAAATATAATTATAAAAGAAGCTTCCAACTGGTATTCCTATTCTGAACTTATATATCATCTTTGGCTACATAAGTATAAAACTTTGCATTTTTCTATGATTTGTTTTATATTTGAGTAGTATGTGTATTAATATTCCCAGTAGATAAAAGTATTTATTTCTGCTCTGGAGTATACAAATACACATTTGTCAAACAATTTAAAATTGTATCCAAATCAGAGAAAGAAAGGCTGATGACCAGAATTCTCTGCTCTTCTTCTGGAATGAGGGAAGTCTTTTAATCAATTTTTTGAACTACATTCAAGCAACTGGGTATAATCATTTGCACATCTAACTCCAACTTTTATAATGTTATCCTTTAGTTCAACTGGAGCTAATGACTAGGGCTTATTAAAAGTGCAAGGTTAACTTTTATTATTTTCTCTCATACTTGAGCTTCTATATTCACTTACTATTGTTTTTCCTATCTTGTCCAGTTTGAAGTCCATTTTCTTTTCCATAAAAGAGAAAAGCTAAATACGGCACATTTGGCACTAAAAATAGGTGGTAGGTAGGGGAGGAAGAAAACAATGTGCTAGAGGAATAAGGAAAGGAAATAAAACAAGTGAAGGAGGAATGATGGAGAGTCTTTCTTATAATCTAGAAGACACTGAATTTGTTATAAAAAGGTTTTGTTCATTTTCTTACTCCATAATTTTGCTATATGACCCTGACTTTGCTGAAATCCTAAAGGTTGAAATAATGGCAGCTTCACTCATCTTACAAACCTGCTTTGAAAATTAAAGCTAGTAAAAACAAATTGTAGATTGTGAAGTGGATTACAAATACAAGTATGTAATAGCAAGTGCAGTGGGATATGAATTATATTAACTGGACTTGAATTACAGATTTGCAATTATACAGGTTATTTTGCCTATCTTGGCCTCTTTCCTATGTTTAAAGATGACGAAGGTTGTGAAAGTTAAATAGTAAAATGCATCGTAAGTTTTCTTACAGAGCCCATCAAATTTTTAATGAAGCTGAAAATATACTCAGTTATATGATGTAACTTGATTTTTACTCATTCTATATGTGTGTACTCAGAAAATGTTACTATTATATACTATTATATGCTATTATGCAAGATAACAAAACAGAATTTAAAATGCTTATTATATAGAATGAGAATTAGAATTTGGTTCTTCAACATTTTTAGAGTCTATGGTAAACATTTTACACTATTATTAAAACATTGTCCTACAAAAAGGATTGATACAAGCTTTTCTTGGGTTGAATGGACACTAGAAAAATATTATATTCACCACAAACTATGATGTTTGTCTCTACTGTTTCCATATGGCAAAGAGGATTATTTCCTTTTATCAGAATGTTACTAAAAAGTTAGAACATTCTAGTGTATGAGGAAATTAACACATAAGAGGGTTTGAAAATTTAATAAATTGAATATTCTACTTATTACTCTTATACACGAAGTTAATTATTTTACCCTTGAACATCTCTATATCATCCCTCTTATTTATTTGAAACGTAATAGGGCATATGTCAATATGGCTATATAATAAAGACATACAATATAAAATAAACACAGTTATTATGCTCTATTATTTGGTTTATCACATGTTCAGACAGCAAGTGAGTGGAAAATGCAACCAAATTTAATGAAAGCAATGCAATCCCCAAAATAACTTCCATAATATTTTGAATAAAGTGCTTACCTACTAGCAGAATTTAAGTTGGAGAAATAAACAAAAGGGATGGCAGAGGAATAATACAATTGTTAAGGAATTTTATTCTTCTGGCACCAATGAGAAATATACAGAATAAAATAAAACAAAACAAAAATAGGAGATTCCTCCATGAAACCATAGGGGTTGACTTAGAGAGAAGATGCAGTGTAGCAGGACTGGAAACTACAGGCACTTGGGCCACTTCTTCATATAATTTATTTGTGCAGTTGGGGCTTCTTCAGGACCGATCATGTATCTCTTGCATTGAGTGATGGACTATTGTTATGCACCCCAGACTCTATGGCTTGGTGGGTCAGTTACCATATAGTTCACAGTAGGTAGATCAGGTTGCATGGTAAATATATGGCCCATAGTCAAATGTTCAGCTTCTACTAAGGCCCGGTAGCAAGCTAAGAGCTGTCTCTCAAAAGGAGAATAGTTATTTACAGATGATGTCAGGATCTTGCTCCAAAATCCTAGAGGCCTTCACTGTGATTCACATACAGAGTCCTACCAAAGGCTCCAAGGAGCATCTCTATCTGTCACTAACACTTCAAACACCATTGGATCTGCTGGATCATATGGCCTAAGTGGCAGACCTGCTTATGCAGCAGCCTAAATGAGCTGCAGAGCTTTCTCTTCGTATAGGCCCCACTCAAAAAACTAGCAGCTTTTTGGGTCATTTGGTAAATGGGATGGAGAAACACATTCAAATAAGGCATATGGCACTTCTGAAAACCAGATAGGCCACTAGGTGTTCTGCCTCTTTCTTGGTTGTAGAGAGGATACAACAACTTATTATTCACTCTAGAAGGGATATCTTGACATCCCTGATACTACTGGATCCCTAGAAATTTCACTGTGATGAAAGGTCCCTGAATTTAGTCACTCTATGATATTCAAATGTCTTACCAATCAGCATAATATCATAAATATAATGGACTGGTGTGATATCTGGTAGAATGGAGAGGGAATCAAGATCCCTATGAACTGAATTATGAACTACAGCTAGAAAATTAATATACCCTTGAGGAAGGACAGTGAAGGCATTGCTGTCCTTGCTAACTGAAAGTGCACTGCTTCCGGTGGATCTTAATGGACAGAGATAAAGAAAAAGGCATTTTTCAGATCAATAACCACATTCCAGGTACCACGCAATGTGTTAAAATGCTTAAGCAATGAAACCACATTGGCTATAGTGACAGCAATTGGAATCGCTATTTGGTTAAGCTTATGATAATCCAGAATTCTCCAAGAGGTTGTCATCTGCATAAAGCAAATAGGAAAGTCGAATGTGTAGGTGGTAGGAATCACCATCGCTACATTAAGTCCTTGAGAGTGGCACTAATCTCTACAATTCCTCCAGGAATACAGTATTGTTTTTGATTCACTAGTTTCCTAGGTAGAGGCAGTTCTAATGGCTTCCACTTGGCCTTTCTCACTATAATGGTTCTCACTCCACAAGTCAGGGAACCCATGTGGTATTCTGCCAGCTGCTAAATATGTCTGTTGCAATTATGCATCTGTGACTGTGGAAATAACCAGAGTGGGTATGGGGACCCACTGTGAAATGGGCCTGAGTTAAAACTCCAGTGATCACCTGACCATCATAAGTTCCTACTCTAAGTAGAAAGTCACAGTAACGTTTTGGGTCTCCTAGATTCAGTGTTCAGAGGCAGTGTCCAGTAGTTCCCAAAAGATCTGATTATTTTCTTTTCCCTATGTTTAGTTACTGTAGTAGAAGGCTATATGAACCTTTGGGAAAAGTTAGAAGGAAAATTAACAGTGTCAGGCCTCAGTAACATATATTAAGTTTGTTTCTCAAGGAGATCTGTCCTCGCTTTCCTTAAACATGTTCTGGATCTGTAAAATAGGGGATTCTTCCATGAAGGCAAAAGGGTTGATTTAGAGAGAAAAGTTTAAGCGTGGGAATTGATTGAGAGGCCTTCACTCTCTGTTTTTATGGTTGAGTTATATTTTTGTTCACTTGACCTGGAACTTTTCTGCTTATCTAGATAAGTATGAATTTAGCAGACTTCCTATCTGTTTCACTTCTAGGACTACCACAGTTAATAAGCCAACACCATACATCCACATGAGTCAGGCTATTCTGAATGCTGCTTTGACTCTGACATCCATTACTGTAACTATACCCACCTTGCCCCTGGCAATTGAGTAGTGCTGCTTGGCCCCTGCCACCCCCAGGACACAAAAAGTTCCATTGCATTAAGATTTTCCATTTCAGTAGCTACAGTTCTAGCATACAGAAAAGAGAGCGATTGCAGACCTCTTGGCAGATGCTGGCTAGTGCTCTCCTCACATTCCTTTCTAAAAGTATTGGTGAAAGACATGCCTTCTGGACCTTCCCAGTGTGGGAGGGTAGGTCTTAAATGACAAATCCACTCTAACGCTTCAATGATCTTTGAATGCCTTCCTCTGCATGAAACCAAGAGAGGTTCAACATCTCCAATTCACTCATGGTGGACCATTTTGATGTATGTTTCAGCAAACTAACCATACTGCTAGAGACCTTTCTAACTCCATGAGCAGCAACAATAAAAAATAATTCCTGTTTAGTGGGCCAATATATCAATAATTTGGCCTGTTCAATCTTTATGTTCCTTCCACCATTATCCTATACCCTTAATAGGCATTCCCACACATATTCGCCCGATTTCTGCTTGTATATATTCCAAAGATTTTTTTTGGTGGGGGAGTGGAATACACTTCCTCACAGGTAACACTTTGTATCTCACCTATAAGGTCCTTCTGGGATTCTTGTCTACTTATAGGTCTGGAAACAAAGGGGCTGGTGGGGGGAGAATCAACATTGCCTTACATAGCCACTGCCGCAGTGGAGGTCATTACTGCTTTCTCGAGCAATGCAGAGTTAATTCCCTCAGAGGAAGGGAAAATACTTATACCAGTGTGGTTGGGGAGGCTGCTATCACTGAGGTTGGGGAGGCCACTTTTGCTAGGGTTGCAAGAAATTTGATTCTTCTGGCAACAATGAAAGACAGGTCAGAATCAAAATATAAACAAAATAGAGAATCACCTTTGTTATTTTAATTTATTTATATCTTTGCAAGAAACAGCCTATGGGCAGAGAACTGGAAGGGGTAGCATCCTGGAAAATGTTTGTTTGCTACAACAAACATGGAATATTTTATATATGTGTGTTTACTCTATTTAATATTCTTTATTTCTATAAACAATTCTAGGTTTATTATGCCTACATCTCTAGTGTTTTACTGAAAATATGTTTCAGGTTTCCAAGAAATATCTTTTTGTCAATTTCTCTTTGGTGTTCACATTTTTAGCATTATATGTAATGCTAAAATAATAATGAGTATAATATTTCAGAAGTGACTAATATGCCTTATTAGTATTAAAGTAACCTTGTATAAATGTTCTATTTATTCCAATGTTGTTTAATAGTATCTTAGCCCTTATGATATATTTTATGTTTGCTGCTGTTAGTATCTACCTGATAAACATGTGTCAAATATTTTACTGTTAACCTGTCACTTTGATTTTGTTTTTAATTGTAAATAGTTTCAATAAAGGACTATAAAGTACAGTGACCGTGAGTGCAGGCTTTGGCATTATTAGACCTTGTTTCAATCGTGGTCTCAGTACCTCTAACTCTATGGTTTTATATTTTACTAAATTACTCTAGGCCTAAATTTTCTTGCTTGCAAAATGAGTACAGTTTCACCTACATAAATGAGTTTTATGAGAAAAGATATGTTGTATAAGAAAAGATATGATTCAAAATAATGAATACTCAATAAAGAGCTCTTATCAGTATTATATTTTTGTTTCTTGGTCTTAAGTTATGTTTCTGGTTCTTAATTTTTTACATTCACTATATAATTCTCTTAATTCTGTGTCTTTTAATATATGGGCTATATCTATATTGCTTATTTGGACTTCTTTTACATTTACTTTAAAGTTACATAGTTTATGTTTCCATTAGTGAATAGTCATAAGTATGTATAAGACCTACTTGAACCTACAAAGTTATACTTGTATGTATGGACTACAGCCTCATAAATTAAGATGATGAATCTAGCATTATTTTTCTTACCTCTTACTATCAAGTGCTTATATAATGGGTCCTATCTTTCTAACTAGTAAATTTAAACAAGCTATTTGCTCAATTATTAATAGGTTTTTTTGATAATAATTTACCTGCAACATTTCTTAAAAATATTAACTATTATTATTTAAATATCTCTAGTCATTTCATTGTACATTGTCTTTTGATTTCAATGTTTATCAAGTCTCTACTTCTTCAGATTGACTTCTAATAATTCTAATAATTGGCCAAAGTCTATTTAAGAGTATTTTGTTTTATGGTAAGACTATTGTATGAGTAAATTTTCTGGCCCTATGGGTATATGAGATTACGTTTTGATTACCTTGCATAGGAGTGACAAATTGGGCTTGAAATTTTAGGGGTTTTTTTCCCCCACAGATTCTATTTTTTTTTTTAATATTTGGAAGGGTAGAACAATAATCTTTGGAAGAAAATAGTGTTCCCTTCTAGATTATTTTATTTTATATTTTATTTTACTTTAATTTTTGAGACAGGGTCTCGCTCTGTTACCCAGGCTGGAGTACAGTGGTGCAATCATGGCTCACTGCTACCCCTGCCTTCTGGGCTCAAGCGATTTTCCTACCTCAGCCTCCAAAGTAGCTGGGACCATAGGCAGGCACCACCATGCCCAGAATTTTTTTTTTTTTGGTGGAGATGGGGTTTCACCCTGTTACCCAGGCTGGTCTGGAACCCCAAAGTTCAAGCAATCCGCCCACCTCGGCCTCCCAAATTGCTGAGATCACATGTGTGAGTCACCATGCCTGGCCGGAAAATTTTATTTTTTATACCGTCTTTGTAATGAAGATGTTATTTTTATTAAATGTTATCTATAGCCAGGAATTTCTTTTAATTAGATAATTTTCTTAAATTTATTAAATTTGTTTACTTAGCTAATTAATTTCAATATTGCTTTTGTTCTATCTCATCTGATATTTTTCCTAGGAATCCCATTAGATTAAGAGTTAATGTTATTGTCTTCATATCTAAATTTCATCTTATTTACCTTTGGCTTTAACACTTTGGTTTGCATAAAGTTTTAAAATTTTTCTTCTACTTCACCAGTTTTATTATGCTTAATACCCTAACTGCTCCTTACATTCTTTTTTATTTTATTTAGGCATCATATTTTCAATGTTTTTCAACTTCCTTATCTCAAAAGTATTTCTTTTCAGTGACTGTTTAATTCTGGAAACACAGACACAATAGTCACTAGAATCTTTAAAAAAATAAAATTAGAAACGCTTTCCTATTCTTAAGCCTCTTTTGAGAGTATAATACACACGTGGAAAATGCACCACTTGTAAGTGCAGGGCCCAGTGTATTATTGCACAGTGAGTATGCCTATATAGAAATAGATCATTTCCAGGTGATTTTGTTGCCTATGTCCAGCTCTTTCCACAAAGTTGACAGCTCTCTAGGATTCCATTGATTGGTTTTGCCTGTCTTCGTTTGTTTGTTTATTTTTAAAGGAGTCATGTGGTGTGTACTATGGTGTATCTGGCTTCCTTTCTTCTTGCTTGATTCACCCATGCTTGCAAGATTCATCCACATTGATGTATAAGGCTACAGCTTGTCCATTTTAATTGCTAGATGATATTGTATTTTAGGAATATAATACACTTTACTTACCCTTTTGTTGTTAGACATTTGAATTGTCTGTAGTTTTTGACTATTTCAACAAATGCTGTTATAAATACGTACACATTTCTATTAGGTATACACCTAGGAATGGAACTGTTAAGTGATAGGTTACACAAGTTCAGGGTTAGTAGATAGTGCTAAATGATTTTCCAGCACAGCTATAGAAGTTCACATGACTGTCAGGAATATTGGTTACCTAAAGGTAATCAAAAGCTAATGCCCAAAACAATAGCTATTTTATTATTCCTCATAGAGTGTGTTAAAAATCCAACTATTTAAGGATGATGTTAGTGAGAGACTTTGTGCTGTGTGTTCGGCAATATTTTTTGGATTAGAGGCTTCTTATTTTTCCATTAGGCGGGATTTGGTCAGCTGTGGTCAGAAATGATAAACTGATCTTCTGAATTCAAAGGCCTAGTAAACTTAATTAAAGGACAGAATTCATTACATGAAGAAATTATCTAGGAATTCAAAGAGAAAGCTATTTTATCAAAGAATTTATAGTCTAAAATGAATATCTAAAAGTCTTATAGTCTTGAAAGAATTTCTGAAAGTACTCAGATATTATACATTTCATGATCGAATTATATTAAGAAAAATATATATAAGGTTCCTGAAGGTTTCTCTGCCAATGACTCAAAAAAACTTCCACAGGTACACTGGAAATCAACAATGAATAAGGAAATCTCAAGAAGCCTTATTTTCTAAGAAGGGTAGTTCTAATTTGGCACATTCTTTTTTTTTTTTTTATTAACTTTAAGTTTTAGGGTACATGTGCACATTGTGCAGGTTAGTTACATATGTATACATGTGACATGCTGGTGCACTGCACCCACTAACTCGTCATCTAGCATTAGGTATATCTCCCGATGCTATCCCTCCCCCCTCCCCCCACCCAAAAACAGTCCCCAGAGTGTGATATTCCCCTTCCTGTGTCCATGTGATCTCATTGTTCAATTCCCACCTATGAGTGAGAATATGCGGTGTTTGGTTTTTTGTTCTTGCGATAGTTTACTGAGAATGATGATTTCCGATTTCATCCATGTCCCTACAAAGGACATGAACTCATCATTTTTTATGGCTGCATAGTATTCAATGGTGTATATGTGCCACATTTTCTTGATCCAGTCTATCATTGTTGGACATTTGGGTTGGTTCCAAGTCTTTGCTATTGTGAATAATGTAATTTGGCACATTCTTGCATCTAAAAGTTGTTTTGATGTACAGAAAGCCAGGTGGAAGCATAAACTTGCTAGGTAAGTATTCAAACGTAGAGAGTGGGTAAAATATGGAGATTTTTATATCATATTAAGTAGGTTGAATTTAATTTTGTGGACAACAGAGAGTTCTTTTAAATAAGGCACAGATATAATTTAGTTTTGGAAAAGTTATTCTAGCATCTGTAGTAAGTGCAAATAGAGGCAAAAAGAATACTTGAGAGACATGCAATTTCTATGTGAGATTATTAAAGTCTCAGTTGGGGCAATGCTTACAAAGAAGGTATGAACAATATTAAAGAGGTAGAGTCAACTTCACCTTTTTAACAATTGAATGGCAGGTGAATGAAAAATAAAGCAATCCTTCGATTTTTGAGGTTGGTTTCTGTATCTATGATAAATTCACTGAGGTTAGAATAAATAAGAAAATCCAATGAAAGCATTATTTCCCATGACTTAGCATGTCTATAAAGTAAGTAAGCAAAATAATGAACATAACAAAAACGTTCTTTAAAAGGAAAATTGGTGAACCTGTAAAATCAGCATAATTTTATACTATAAAACACACATGCACACTACTCACACACACCATGCTATTGTTATTACAACAGTTAAAAGGAGCTTCCAAAGGTGTGAATACAGTAAATGCAGTAATTTTTGCTGGAAAAATTTAATAGACAGGCATAAGAGAGGACTCTGAGGGTGGGAAAGCTACTTTCATTGAAATGGAATGGGGGTCTTATGTCTCATGAAAAAATAAATTATACTTATGCCACCAGAAAATGATAAGTAGACTCGAGATTAATGCATCATTAAATGCTAGGCCACAAGCTCAATTTGGAGGAAACATAATATGTGAGTGTATGAAATATATACATATATAATATAAAATATATAAAACCTGTATTAGGGTTTTTCAGAAAAACAGTGAAAAGGATGTTCATATATAAAAAGAGATAAATATCAGGAATTGGCTCATGTGATAAGGGAGGCTGAAATGTCCTAATATCGGCAGTCAGCAAGCTGGAGACCCAGGAGATCCACTGGTACACTTCCAGTGGGGGGTCTGAAGGCCTGAGAACCAGCATAGCTGATGGCATAACTTCCTGTCTAAAAACTGGCCGGCAGAAGACCCAGGAAGAGCCAACAATTCAGCCTATGTCTGAAGGTAGGAAAGAACTGATGCTTCAGCTCAAGCGTTCAGGCAAGATACATCCCCTCTTAACTTCCAGAGGGTTGGCATTTTTGTTCTGTTTAGGCCTTCAGCTGATTGGGTAAGAGCCCTGCATATTAGGGAAGATAATCTGCTTTACTCAGTTTATCAATTCAGATGTTAATCCTATCCCAAAACATCCTCTCTGACACATCTAGAGTAATGTTTTACCAAATATCTGGGCATCCCATGGCCCAGTCAAGTTGACACATAAAACCAACCATCACACTTAGCATTTATTAATGTGAGACAAATGTTGAATGTGCAGTATCATAAATTTATACTTACCAGAATAAATGTATAGACAGAAATATTTATCATTTCAAATTATAAAAAAGTGCTTTTACTTTCCTCAAGAAAATGAAAATGAGAATCTAAATCTAGATTCAGAATAACACTAAGTTAGACAAGTATTACATTTTTGTGCATGTGCATACTACAGGATCTGGTAAGGTGAATTTGGCTTTGCATCTGCTGTTTTTGGAAATGGTTGCATACATAAGGTATTTTTCTTGCCAATTTGCATGTGTTTTGCTGTTCTATGCCAGTAATCTTATGCCAAGATGTTGTGTTAAGCTATCTTCTATTTTTGCCAGAAAACAGAAACGTAGCGGGGCATCCTTAATGGCTGGAAGGCATTGAATTAGTCACATACATATGACAGCTGGAGGTTCATATCCTCAGAAGTGAAGTTGCAATTACCAAAAACAAATAAAAAAACCTTTTATCCAATGACCTGCCTTGACTGAGTTTCTAAATTTTTGTAATCATTTGTAAGTTAGTTTTGATAGATCAGGGAATCCAGAGTTGCCAGCCTTTACAGAATGCTTAAAAAACTTATTTTTTTTTTCTAAAAAACAGACTCAATCATGAGCAAAGTGACTTCATACCAAATATTGAGTAAGAGTTTTTGATCAGAGATAGAACTTGTGTAGTGGTCTTATTCCATATATTGCAAATGAGAGCATAAAGCCATGAGATGGGAGGGCATTCCTTCCCAAAGCTTTAAGAGGAGCTAGTCTATCAATCAGTAAAATGTATTTTACTTGCCAAGTTTCTATTAGAAAACACAGTGCTATACACACATACAAAACTATACCTCTAAGCATTATGCTTGCTTTCCCCAGTACACATAGGCATATTTATGGGAACTGTCATTTGGACTGATAAAGCATGTGCAGAAGGGGAGAAAGGTCATCTTTGCATAAAATATTAGATGATGTCAGTAATTTGAGGACTAATGTTTCAAAAGCTTAGGAATAAATGAAGAAAACACAGGAATGTTCTTCATAATTCATTTGATGCTTACCATATGGCATGTGCTCAATATAGCTTCCTCATCCCAAAATATGTATGGTAGTCCCAGAAACTGTCCTAAGCCAGAAAGTTAGGCACCCAACAGAAAAAGTATAAAACATAAAGGCCATATTGAGATTATTAGGATACTAGAGAAGAGTTTCAAAAGTCAAAAACTATAAATTAATTCATTCAATTCACAGACACCACTAACTCACACATTTAGAAATATTTATTGGCACCAAAATAATAGCATGGACACTTTCAGATGCTGGGAATTTAAAAAATATGTAGTAGCTCTATTTTCATAATTTGACTCAGTGATACAGAATACTAATAGCAGACCTCATCCAGAATTCTTAGATCAACGAAATCGATTTTGAATTTAAATAGAAAACTATTATGAAAATAATTTAACATATTTTAATATTTATAAAAGATTACATCAAAATATATGTTATATAAAAACTAATTGTAAGTATGTTATATGAAAACTAAACATAGACATATGAAAATTTATTATAAATTCCTCCTATGTTTACGTTGCCTATAATGTAATGCTGCAAAAAAGACCATTTTAAAGATAATATATGTTGATGAATATTATCTGGGATAATTAATAAGATGAGGCTAAGTAATTTTTATGTTAGCTTTTGTAAATAAGAGATCCTCTAGGAAATAGTTTGGTATAGCCTTTTTTGGCTGTTTGAATACACTTTAAACTGTGAGATGCACTCATCACAAGTCTTTAATTCAATGGGTTTAACTGCCACCCCAAACAAGAAAAATTATGTTTCCATTGCTACAGGAAGTTTCCTTGTGTATCTATCCAGGCAAATGCTAGACCTCCATGCCTCAAGAAGGCAATCACTTTCTAATTTTTACAGCCATATATTAGTTTTTGTTTACTGGAACGTCAATCAAATAGAATCATGCCTAATATACCCCTTTGTGTTTAGCCTCTTTCCCTCCATATGGCGCTGAGTTTCAGCCATATTGTTGAATGTATCAGTAGTTGTTTCTTTCTGTTTGTAGGAAATATACCACTGAATGAAAATGCCACATTTTGTTTACCCATGAATCTTTGATAAATATATTTTCTAAAATTTTGGGCTATAATAAAGTTGCTATGAGCATTCTTCTATATTGTTTTTCTGTGGGCATATTTTTTAGATGACTAATGATGCTGAGATTTTTTAAGTTGTTTTTTGTGTCGCCTTTTCCATATCACTGCCTATTTGAACATTTTACATATTTTCTTTTGCCATCTTTTTGGCTTCAAAGAAATAATGTAACATTAGGACAACAGTAGCATATTTTAAAATCAGAGATAATTAAGTTTAATTAAATACAATTTATTATTTATCTTATTTTGTAGTTAGTACTTTTGGAATCCTATGTAGGTAGTCTTAGCCCACCCAAAATGTACTATAATATCAGATGTGTTTCGTGGTGGAAGACATGGGCTCTAGTTTTTATATATATGTAAACAATTTGTCTACAAATAATTCTATTATATGGCACACAATGAGGGCTAGCTTCATTTTTTCCCATATTGACTTTCAGACGTCCCAGCACCGTCTGTAACAACAAGAGCAAAGACTTTATATTTCTCATTGAATTAACCTGACACTTTGATGAGTCACCAAAACCATATTACTCTGCTTGTAATGGTTTTAGAGTAAGTCTTTTTAAAGGTAGTTGGAGTGTCTAATTTTGTTTTCCTTTAAAAGCTCTTTGTCTATTCCAGATACCTTACATTTTACTTTAATTTTAGAATAATATTGTAGGTTTCTTTTAAGAAACATGATAAGGTATTGTTTGGGAAAGTATCATTCTAAAAATCTATTTGGGGAGAATAAACATCTTTACAAAATCGAATACTTCAATCCATAAAGATAGTATGTCGCTCCATTTTTCAGATCTTTTTCAACTTTGCTCTGCAATATTTTGTAGTTTCCAGCATAGAATTCCTGTACATATCCTATTATACTTATTCTTCATATGTGACTCCTGATGCTATTTTAAAATGACATTTTATTTCATTTTTATAGTGCTAACTTCTCATATATAGAAATAACAATGAGTTTTGCTTGTTAATTTTCCATTTTGCTATCTTGCTAAATTCACTTAATCCTAGTAGAAATTTTATACATTCCATATAATTTTCTACATGCATAATCACATTGTTTGTGAATGATAGCAGTTCTACTTCTTCCTTTCACACATTAATTATTTAATATTGATTTTTTTCCTCATGGCTTTGCTAAAATTTTTGGTAATATGTGGAAGTGGTGAGAGAAATATCCCTGTCTTATTTTTGAGCTTGGGTGGAAAGCATTCAATTTTTTTACTACTCAGTACAATGTGGTTAGACTATTTTTGTAGGTGTGTTTTTTTGGACTGAGGATGTTTCAATTTCTTTCTGGTTTTTGAAGGGTTTTTATCAACCTTTTTTAAAGTTTTTTTTCTGCATCTGTCAACATATATTTCTTTCCTTAATCATAGCTTGTTAAGATGTGCATTATTCTTTATGCCTTTCTGAATTCTGTTTGTTTGTGTTGTGTTCAAAATTTTTACAGACATGCTAATGAAAGCTATTAGTCTGCAATTTCCTTCTTCAGGTCTTGGTATCAACGTTTCACTAGCTTCATAAAATGAATTAGGAAGTATTTTTATCATTCCCTAGTTTTGGAAAGAGTTTCAAAACAAACAAGAAAAATAAACAATTACAATGGAGAAACAAGCAGAAGACTTGAACTTGGATTCCAAAGAAAAGTAAAATAAATGATCATTACTAATTGAAGATATTTTAGCTTTATTAAGTGAGAAAATATATTTTATACTATCAAAACTGGTAAAAATTAAAAAGTGTAGCATTATCAACTGTTGAAGAGAATTTATGTCATAGGAACTTTGTATATTGATGAAGTGTGCAAATATTGTTACAACATTTCTTGTTTTAATAGTGGCATTACTTAGTACATTTGAGAATGAACCTAATTTATTAATGCAATTTCATAGCCCAACAAAATATAAGAGTGTCTAAGCCCACTATTTTTCTTCTGGTGCCTTCCTGGCAAGCATTACTGAGTTATACCAGGTAGTATTTGCCACTATAACGAACTATAAATTGATACCAGGACACAGGCGAAGAAAACCGTGCCCAATAACTCTTCCTTTCTTGAGAAAAACAGTGAGTCTCTGTCATTTGAAGAGTACTGAGCAGTGTTGTGTATCTTTATTAAACTTTTCTCTGTCAATGTGCTATAGCTAGCCTTATTATACTTTTGGGAGTCAGGTAATGGGGCCCTCCTGAATTCGTGTTAAAAGTGGCCATTTCTTTGTTTTGTTTCACATGAAAATGATCTGCAGCACAAGTAGCCATCCAGCAATCCCTAGAAATTTTAGACATTCCTCAATCCCTTTTATAGAAATATCAATGACAATCTCACAGCAAATCTTTATGGCTTGGAACAGTGCAGATTGCACATAAGGTAGAGAATGAATTTTGGATCAGTGGGGTGGCAAAAAAGGTAAGAGTTAATTTTTCTCCAGTTAGACTGTTAATTTACTGTAATGCTACATGAAAACTAACTATTCATAGTACATAAGCAATTGATCCTCATTAACTGCAAAGTATTGACCAAACCTGTATCATACCAGGGAATGAATTGATACTTTCCCAACCGTAAACACTGATGTGGTGAATCTTGCCACCAGATTGCTATTTTATACAGCTGCAACATCAGGGCTTTCTCTAGCTTCCTAATCACACCAGGGTTGCTACTTTAACTAAATACCCTGAACTACATGGATACAGATAGAGGGAAGGTCCTATCATGTTACATTGCTATCGTTTCTTTCTTGATCACGGGAAAAGCAGAGGAAAGTAGATATTTGCATAACAACATGGCATAAAGGATCTCTACCCAAAAGTCAGAGTCCTTTCCTGGAGTCTAATATCTGTCCTTGTTAGCTCTGTGTGAACGAATGTAGGTTAAATTGACATTAAGGAGCCTGTACACTGGTTATTGATCCAGTCTTCAAGAATTGTTCCCAACAGTCTGTGCTATTTCTGTAGGTTCTCCTTGACCATTTGCATAAGTTTTTTTTAATAAATGTTCATGCTATTTAAGATTATATAGCAGTTAAAATGAATGAGCCAGAGCTATATACATAAACATACATGGATTGTACAACACATATCTATGGGAAAAATCCAACCCACAAATAAATGCCTACAGTGTTATATGATCATGGTTTGAATGTTTGTCCCCTCCCAACCTCATGATGGAATTTAATTGCCATTGTAACAATATTAAGAAATGGGACCTTTAAGAGGGGATTAGGCCGTGAGGGCTCTGCCCTCATAAATGGATTCATGTCATTATCTCTGGAGTGTGTTCCTTATGCAAAAGGAAGTTGGGGTTTCCTCCTCCTTCCTTCTCACCTTCCTTGCCTTTTTCTTCCATCATGTGAGGATGCAGCACCAAGGCATCATCTTAAAAGCAGAGGACAGCCCTCCTCAGACACTGAATCTGCTGGTGCACTGATCTTTGGCTTCCCAGCCTCAAGAAATGTGAGAAATAAATCTCTATTATTTATAAATTATCTAGTATCAGGCATTCTTTTATAGCAGCAAAAATGGACTAAAGCATATACTTTTAAAGGCATTTCACAAAAAATGGGGTATTCGATCTCATCTAAAGGAAAAGCAATAATTTTTAAAAATTAATTATATAAAAGTGGGATAATGTTCATACTGTCACACCAACACCTGAGAATTAAAATATACAGCTACGGACAAAGGTCTCATGTATAAACAATAATTTCTACATAAAATAACAAATAAAGTGATGCATTAGACAAATGATTGGCCACAATCACTTAAGCTTAAAGAAAAACGAATCCTTTAAGTTCAAAGGTGGAACAGATTCATTTTCTTCTAAATGAATATAAGCATTTATAAAGAAACTCCAGCTAATGAGGAATCTTAATGGATGTATTTCATTGTGAGTCTAAATAGGGGTTAGAGCTTGGAGAATGTTATGAAAAGATAAGCATATATCCTGGTTTCCTATAACTTCTCAATAAATCCAAATTATGTCTTGCAGGGTTAATGGAGAATTGAAACACATTTTTGTTGTGGGTTTCAGTGGTTTCAAGGTTAGGGTCCAAAGACCCTCAAACAAAATTCACTATAAACCAATAACACACTTATATTTACAACATATATTTGGTGTAATATTTAAGTTGTTGTATTGTAATCTAATTTCATAATCCATCTTTACAATAAAGTCTATAGGCCTTAAATAATTTAGAGAACAATTTTGTGTAAAAAGCAAAAAATCTCTCTTACAAAGTGGAGTTTTCATATTGCCAAACCCAAAAATTGCAGTAAAAGAGGATTTTTTTCATTGACTCTATATTTAAAAAGACCAAATATATTTTTGTCCAGGAGTTTAAGAAGAGTTTAATATTAGAAAATATATACTTATCATTCTTTACCATATGGGTCACTGGGGACTCAGCACAATCCCTCTGTAGAGGTACAAATAACAACAACAGCAACAAAATTTAAAACACCCAAGTTTCCAAGAATACAATAATTTATTAGAGTGATTCATACAGTGAAATGCTATGTAGCTGCTCATTTACATTATATGTCTGAAAAATAAGGGGAAATACGAAAAATATAATGCCAAGGGAAAAAGCATTAAGAGATTAAAAGCAGAGTACAAAACACAAACACAGTATCTATAGTATGATACAAAATTTATAAAAACATTTATGTTTACATGAAGCATTTAATATCTTAAGGATTTTTAAAGTTGCTATTTCCAGATAAAGATATATATTTGATATTTAAATCAAATATCAGTGAATTTTAGATTTTAAATTCAGTGTGATGAATTTTAACTTCATACTGAATTTAAAATCTTAAGGATTTTTAAAGTTGCCATTTCTGCATAAAGATACATATTTGGTTTATATATCTATTTGATTTATATATATATATTTATGCAGAAATGGCAACTTTAAGGATTTTTTAAAATCTGCCATTTCTCCATAAAGATATATATTTGCTATATATATATCTTTATGCAGAAATGCCAACTTTGAAAACTCTTAGGATATTAAATAATTTAAATATCAAAGATTTAAGTATCAAATATATTTTTATCCAGAAATGCCAACTTTAAAAATCCTTAGGATTATTTAAGAATCTTAAATCCTTAAGAATATTTAAATTATATACTCTTCTACATTGTGTAAATTTGTATATTTTGTTATTGTTTTAAATTCTAAAAATGTACTGTCCTTTTAAGACTGTTATATAACATGTACATATAAATTTGAAAGGTATATGTTTCTATAAAAATAGAAGAAAGGCCACAGTATAGTTGATTGAAAATAAAAGATGAAGAAACACCGTCAAGGAGTGTTCAGAGCATGACATGGTATTCCTGCTGTGCTGATCTGACTGCAGTTTTCCTTTCAGTCAATATCTCCACAGGGATGCACCCAGTGATGAAGAATTTGCTCTACGTAGGGCATTCTGCTTTCCTGCTTTCTAGGTGCTATGCATAATCTATCAAACCTTTGGTACAAAATCAATGTGAATAGCAAGGCACAGAATTCTACTCAGCTTTTTTCTATTGACAGAAAAAAATATATATTTACACCTCAGGAAAGTATTATTATTATTATTATTTTTTGAAGTGCTGTAATCCTTGTCTTGGCCCTGGTGTTGAGATGTTACTGCTTTGGATTTTATAAACTACCATATCAATTGAAGCTGATGTCTTTCAAATTAACATGTTTCATAAATGATTAAAGAACAATTTGTTAGATTTGTTTTTGGACAGTTTGTGATTTTCTTTGTTTTTTTTTTTAATAATTAAGAGATACACTGGATGAAGACCTAATTATTCATTACTCAGCCACTTAACATATTTAACCCTGTGATTAAAATTAACAGTGAAAGACAATTGTCCCATTTTGCCTTCTTTATCATAAAACCTCTTTATATTATGAGAAAGAAATCTCAAAAACTCTGATTTTTTTCTAAAATGATTCAAAAGAACTCATTTTCTTATATGAGTAAACAAAGAGGAGAAATAAAAGAGATGACTGAGGCAATAGCCCAGTGGAACTGTGGCTTCAGGCCTGAAGAGTAATGAAATGGCCCATGTGCACAGGTGATGATAAAAGCCTTTCTCATTCACCTTACCTAAATAGCATTGCACTTTGGATAACATCAACCAAAGAAGCTAAAGCCACTTGGCAAGTTCTAGGTACTGTATATCCTGAAAGAATAAGGATTTACATATAATACATATGCATTTAAACAGGTATTGAGTATTTACTATGTGCCAGATACAATATTCAGTGCTTTGAATAAGACATTTAATTTTCCAAGTGACCCTAGAATATTACATTATCATCTCCATTTTATAGAAGAGAAAAGTAAGGTCTAGGTAATCTTAGCACATTACAGAAAATACACAAAGAATTTATGGCAGAGCTAGGAATCAACTGTAGGTTCATGTGAGTCCAAAGTCCTTATTCTTAACCAACCACTTACATTATTAAAACAATAAGACAACAAAAAAATCTTTATGCCAATAACCTTAATAAACATATATGCAAAAATCCTCAACAAAATACTGGCAAACCAACTCCAGCAGCATATCACAAAGGTACCACTACAATCAAGTAGGCTTTATTCCTGGGATGCAAAGTTAGTTCAACATATGCAAATCACTAAATGTGATTCATTACATAAACAGAACTAAAGAAAAAAAAGTAATTATTTCAATAGATGCATAAAAGGCTTTCAATAAAATTCAACATCCTTCATTTTAAAAACTCTCAACAAACTAGGCACTGAAGGAAAATGCTTCAAAATAATAAGAGCCATCTATGACAAACCCACAGTCAACATCACAATTGAACAGGCAAAAGCTAGAAGTATTCTCCTTGATAACCAGAACAAGACAAGGATGTTCTCTCTCACCACTCCATTTCAACATAGTACTAGAAATCCTGGCCAGAGTGATCAGGCAAGATAAATAAATAATAGGCATCCAAACAAGAAGAGAGGAAATTAAACTATCCCTTTTTGCAGATAATATGATTCTATATCTAGAAATAATCTCTGTCCCAAAATCCCTTCTTCTAACAAACAACTTCGGCAAAGTTTCAGAATACAAAATAAATGTACAAAAATGAGCAGCATTCCTATACACCAAGCATATCCAAGCCAAGAGCCAAATCAGAAATGAAATAGCCATTAAAAGAGTAAAATACGTAGGAGTACAGTTAACCAGGGAGGCAAAGGACCTCTGCAATGAGAATTACAAAACATCTCTGCTCAAAGAAATCAGCGATGACACAAACAAATGGAAAAACATTCCATGCTCATAAATAGGAAGAATCAATATGGTTAAAGTGACCATACTGCTCAAAGCAATTTACAGATTCAATGCTCTACCTCTCAAACTACCAATGACATTTTTTTTTGTTTTTGTTGCATTTGCTTTTGAGGCCTTAGAAATAATCAGCAGAGTAACAAGACAACCCACAGAATGGGAGAAAATACTCACAAATTATGCATCTGACAAAGGACTGGTATCCAGAATCTACAAGGAACTCAAACAAATCAGCAAGAAGTAAATAGACAATTACATCAAAAAGTGGGCAAAGGACATGAATAGACATTTCTCAGAAGAAGATATACAAACAGACAACAAATATATGAAAAGATGCTCAACATCACTAATCAGGGAAATGCAAATTAAAACCACAATGAGATACCATCTTCTGAAAGAATGGTCATAATTAAAAAGCCAAAAAAGCAATAGATGTTGACATGGATGTGGTGAAAATGGACCACTTTTATACTGCCAGTGGGAATATAAACTAGTAAAACCACTAGGAAAAACAGTATGGAGACTCCTTAAAGAACTAAAAGTAGATCTACCATTAATTCCAGCAATCCCACTATATCTACCTAGAGGAAAAGAAATTATATGAAAAAGACACATGCACACACATGTTTATAGCAGCACAATTTGCAATTGCAAAGATATGGAGCCAAACTAAGTGCCCATCAACCAATAAATGGATAAAAAATGTGGCACATACAAACCATGTAATACTACTTAGCCATAAAAAGGAATAAAATAATGTCTGTTCAGCAACTTGGATGGAGCTGTACACTATTATTCTAACTGAAGTAATTCAGGTGTGGAAAACCAAATACCATATATTCTCACTTACAAGTGAGTGAGCTAAGGTATGAGGACACAAAGATATACAGAGCAATATAATGGACTTGGGGACTCCGGCTGGGGGAGGTTAGCAGGGAGGTATGGGATAAAAGACTACAAACTGGGTACAGTGTGCACTGCTCAGGAAGTGGGTGCGCTGAAATCTCAGAATTCACCATTAAAGAACTCATCCATGTAACTTAAACCACATGTACCCCCCAAAAAACTATTGAAATAAAAATAATAAAATCAGGAAATTGAAACTCAAGAATACCTACCAATGACATTCTGCACAGATTTAGAAAAATAATTATTTTAAAATTCATATAGAATCTAAAAGAGCCCAAATAGCCAAGGCAATCCTTAGCAAAGAAAGTTGGAGGCATCGTGTTATCCAACTTTACAGTCTACTGGAAGGCCATAATAACCAAAACAGCGTGGTACTGGTACAAAAACAGAGACATAGACTAATGGAACAAAACAGAGAGGGCAGAAATAATGCTGCACACCTACAATCATTTGATTTTTGACAAATTCAACAAAAACAATGGGGAAAGGACTCTCCTCAATAAGTGTTGTAAGGATAACTGGCTACTCATATGCAGGAGATTGAAACTAGACCCCCTCCTTACACCATATACAAAAACTCAAGATGGATTAAAAATTTTAACAAACCTAAAACTATAAACAACCAGGAAGATAATCTTGGATGTATCATTCTGGACAGAGAACCTGGCAAAAATTTCATGACAAAGATGCCAAAAGCAATTGCAAAAAACCCCAAAAAATTAACAAATGGGACCTAACTAAAGAGCTTCTGCACAGCAAAGGAAACTATCAACAGAGTAAATGACATAGAGAATGGGAGAAAATGTTTGCAAACTATGCATCCAAAAGAGGTCTGATATCCAAAACCTCTAAGGAATGTCAGCAAGTCAACAAGCAAAAAACAGACGACCCCAAAAAAGGGGGCAAAGGACATCAGCAGGCACTTCTCAAAAGAAGACATACACAGGGCCAAAAAGCATGTGAAAAAATGTTCAACATCACTAATTGTTAGATAAATGCAAATCAAAACCACGGCGAGAAACCATCTCACACCACCAAGAATGGCTAGTATTAAAAAGTCAGAAAATAACAGTTGCTGGAGTGGTTGTGGAGAAAAGGAAATGCTTATACACTGCTGGTAGGAATGTAAATTAGTTCAGCCATTGTGGAAAGCAGAACGGTGATTCCCCAAAGAACTTAAAACAGAGTTAGCATTCAACCTAGCAATTCCATTATTGGGTACATAATTCTACCATAAAGATACATGCACATGTATGTTTATTGCAGCACCATTCACAATAGCAAAAACATGGAATCAACCTAAATGCACGTGAATGGTAGACTGGATAAAGAAAATGTAATGCATATCCACCACCATATACTATGCAGCCGTAAATAGAACAAGATCATGTTTTTCGCAGTAAAATGGATGGAGCTGGAGGCCATTATCCTAAACAAACTAATGCAGGAACAAAAAAACATATACCGCATATTCTCACTTATAAGTGAGAACTAAGCAACAGGAACACATGAAAACAAAGAAGGGCACAAGGGAGATCAGAGCCTACTTGAGGGTGGAGGGTATGAGGAGGGAGAAGGTCAAAAAACTACCTATCAGCTAGTATAATTATTACCTGGGTGATGAAATAATCTGTGTACCAACCCTCATGACACACAGTTTTCCTGTATAACAAACCTGCACATGTACCCTGGAACCTAAAATGAAAGTTAAAAAAAAAAGCAAAAAGATTAAACTGTTATGTGCAGGTAGTCATTGTTTAGTGAAATAAAGTTTAATAAAATAATTCCTTAGAAATGCTTAATTATTATTTATACTGAGTTCAAACATGCTGATTAATTTAATTGTAGTGTTTTATTTTCTCCAATAGAGCATGACTCTATCAATAAGGATATTTTTTAAAAGCCTCAAGAGATGACATACAACATTTCTTTAATGTCCTGGTATTATTGGTTTGGGTAAAATGTACACTTAAAATGGAGACTAATATTTCACTGTAAATAATAAAAAATATTATTGAGTGAGACTTAATAGTAAAAAATAATACCAGTGATTAAGAAAATAAATGTATTTAAACTCATATGTAACTACTCACATGTATAAATTAAAATTAGGAGCTAAGTATTAAATAAATAATTGAGCTACTGTTGACAAATATTGCATGATAAAAGATGACTACTTTCTGTTTACTTTAATATCACAAATATGAAGATAGTGATTTTGCATTGACATCAGGAATGTATCAAATTTTCTAAGGACATAGATTAATCCCTTTGTTTATACAATTTTGTAATACATGGGCTCAGATAACTAATCCTAGGATAAATACAGGCACAATTTGATAAATTGATTCTATTCAAGTATGTTCAGTATGTTGAATAGGCTCATTTTCACTGGTTCATACTTTTACTAACTGTTGGGTGATGCTTCAGTCTCTCTGTTCTATCGTATTTTTCTCTGCCAGGTTATCTGTTAAATATCTGTACACTGTGATGAACTAGGTTTGAAGGATCTAATCTAATATAAACAGTGCCTGTCTTCTGGGACAGGGGAGCATTTAGTGTCCAAGAATCACATTTTATTGAATCTGACTGTGGTTTCTGAAAAGATGGAAAAAAGAAAACCCACTTCAGGGTTTCGAGGAAGCCATGAAAACTCATGCTAAACAGACCGAGGGTAACTTTACAGCTTTGATTAACAGGTTTTGGAATGTGTTTAAACATAGAGGTTTTACTCATAATACTCCTATAATCCTAGAGTAGCAAAGACAGAAGATGCTCTACTTATGAATACAAGCCTTTAATAGAACCAGAGTACAGTTTGTTCTTTCATGACTCATGAAACAGAGGAAATCATTTCCTCTCTTTATTCTCAGCCTTTGCCTATGTTTTGGCCTAAGACAAGCCTGTACTTTCTATAAAATAAAAAACACAATTCTATTTTTGTTTCCTCCCTTATTTTACCCCCACCATTATGCACCACAACTAAATTGACTGTGCATCTTATTCATTTTGTTTGTTTGTTTGTTCGTGACGGAGTTTCGCTCTTGTCGCCCAGGCTGGAGTAAAATGGCACGATCTTGGCTCACTGCAACCTCAGCCTCCTGAGTTCAAGTGATTCTCCTGCCTCAGCCTCCCTAGTAGCTGGGATTACAGGTGCCCGCCACCACGCCTGGCTAATTTTTGTATTTTTATTAGAGACGGGGTTTCATCATGTTGGCCAGGCTGGTCTTGAACTCCTGACCTCAAGTGAACCACCTGCCTTGGCCTCCCAAAGTGCTGGGATTACAGGCATAAGCCAACACTCCCAGCTTTATAGATGTTTGAATCTGAGCATTCAACCCAGTGCCTGGCATTCAGTAAGTATTTGATGAAGGCTTTCATTCAATTCAGTTTCTGGTGATCAGCTCAATAGGCATTTGATAAATTCTTACTGAAGCAATGTATGGTACTGTATATATACAAAATATAGATAAAACAAAGTAACTACAATTACCTAAAGATGTCTTATTTATGTTATTTTAGTTTATTTTATTAGATTTTGATGATTATCCTTGTTTTTCTGGAAATTTCATAATTGGATATTTATTAACTTGGTTCTAATTTTGTTAAGTCATATTTTTTCATTAGTAAGCAGACAACATTTAAAAGAATAGACATTACTCATGGTCTTAAGATCAAATTTTGTAATCCAATTTATTGGTAAAGTACCTGTGCCCAGTAATTATTTTGAGTAGTATTTATTTAAAATATTTTTGATGAATTATATGATGGTCTCAGTCTAAATTAAGTCTCAAAACCACATAGTGTTAAGTGTTTCAACTTCCTTATTTTGCAAAATTGTTTTCACTATATTAGGCCTTTCCAACTTTTATATGTTTTTAGAATAATCAATTTTTACAAAATTGCTACGGATATTTGATTGAGACCTTGTGTAATTATAAAAATCCTTTTGGAGAATATAGACATATTGAATATCAAATGATAAAATGATAAAATTTATGAACACAGTATGCCTCTTCATTTACTTAGTTTTTTAAATTTTACTTATGAATTCTTATTTTTTATTGCAATCTTGTATTTTTTTGTTAATTTTTTTCCTAAGTATTTTGTTTTAATAAAATTGTAAAATGTGTTTTTTATTTTTAATTGTTTGCTAATATATAATTGGATTTTTTGAACAGAGATGATAATTATCAATTGCAAATGCTAATTTTGCAACACTATAGTGTATTTGTACAAGAATATTTACTAAACTAATTCAGTGATGATCTAATTGAATTATTGATACTGAGATCTAAAATAATCTAAAACCAATTGTATTAATCCATTCTGACACTACTATCAAGAATTGCCTGAGACTGCATAATTTACAAAGACAAAACAGTTTAATTGACTCACAGTTCTGCATGGCTGGAGAGGCCTCAGAAAATTTATAATCATGGCGGAAGGGGAAGCAGGCATGTCTTATGTGGTGGCAGGCGAGAGAGAGAGTGTGTATAGTTGGAACTGTCAAACACTTATAAAAACATCAGATCTTGTGAGTACTCACTATCATGAGAACAGCATGGGGGAAACATCCCATGATCTGATTACCTCCCGCCAGGTCCCGCCCTTGACAATTGGGAATTATGGGGATTACAATTCGAGATGTGATTTGGCTGGGGAAAAGAGCCAAACCATATCTAAATATTCTAAAAAAATTAGAAATATTTTCAACAATGTCTATCTCTGTTTATTAGAACATAAACTGTATATACTACTATTATTTTGAATATATTTAATTTGAATTTGGTTTGATGTGGAACCACAGACACAGGGGACCAACTGTATGTATGTGTGTGTGTATATAACGCACATATATATGTCAAAATTATTAAATTGTACATTTTAATATGTGTAGCTTATTATATACCAGTTTTACCTCAACAAAGTATTTGTGAAATTTAAAACTTACTACAAACAAAAAACCATGAACTGTATAAAAATATTTCTGTTTACTTCCATATTACCTATTTTTTGCTACCCAGTTAAAATTTCTCAAAATTCATAAATTAAAACATTTTAATTTAGTGAAATAATTGTCTTTCTAAATTATCATTTAAGGATAGAATTTTCCACATTATGTGGCAACCTCAAAAAGCTTTAAACTATGTATCTTGCCTGAGAATTTTTACTGAAATTACCTAAACTCAAAGAATTCAAGGGATGAGAAACATTAAAGGTTAAAATCTATTTAAATAATGCAAATATTAAAATATTTATTTATTAGAAGCCTAAACTCCTTTATTCATCACAAAGTTTTTGTATACTCCTTTTAAATATATAAAGCATTGGCCAGAACACTATTTACAGACTACGAACTTCCATTAATTACCGTGTCTTTAGTTAAAATAATAGCCATATTCACAGGAGATACGAGTGAAAAGGAGTGAGGTTCTAATAACCACAATAAATAGAGATTCTAACAGGATTAAACCAGGAAAGCACACTTCTTGCCTGCTAAGCATAATATTATAAATTTTCCAAAGTACAGGGGGATAAATAACATGATTAGAGCGTTTGGCAGGCCTCCGAAATGGGTAAGCAAACATTTGTGTTTACTCGAGATAAGTACGCTCAAATGACATGTATTTGGAACCAGGATATGGAAGAGTCAAACTAGCAGAAGCTTTCACATTTTAATTTTAAAATTTCCAGGTTTTTCAATAGAGCCTGCAGTACACTAGCAAACAGCATGTAAAACTATTACAGAACAGATTGTTTTTTAAAAAACAAATTGGCAGGTTACAGCTATGTACTTAATATATCTTTGGTTTAAGAAGACTAGAATAATGATTAGAGGCCAAAGAATCCCCAAAATGTAAATTGCTATTTGGATTCTACATGTTTTATTTTATTTGTCTTAGTGGTTTTGAGTTGCTTGTTTGGCTTAGAAGTTTTGAGGCTCTAGTTGGAGCTTGTTTATTTGTTTTTGTTTGAAAGAACCTGAAGGGTGGCAGAGCTTAGATGCTTTCAGATTCCGATTAGTTGTACGATTTTTTTTTCTTACTTGATGTTGACTGAAGTTCTGCTGAATTACATGCTGTGATTATCAAAGACTTCTTACAAGCAGCAGTCCTGCTTGGAGATGATTCAGAAGCTGGAGGAGGTATCACAGAATCAAGATGGATGGTTTTAAAAGCTGCGGGGACATGAGGTGACATGTATAGCTTCTAACTCTCTTAGCCTGGTCTACTGTACTAGACTGGAGAGGTGTCTGAAGAAAAGTGGGTACAAACGGCATGTCACTAATTTTATTATTTGCCAAATGATAAGGCTCTTGAGCATTTACAGTCATGTTTAAGTTTGCTTCAGAAAATGTACTCTTAGCCACATCCATTGTTAATGTGGGTTTGACGCCAAAGGGTGGTCTTCCAAACCATAGTTGTTTTCTTGTTGCAAGTCATATGTAAAGCTTTCATCTAGATATGCGAAGCCCTGACGCATGTCTTGGATTGCACCTTTGCTGGGAACCTCCACATGTTGGGGCTATATTCATTCTCTCTTGGTGTAGTCTGTTGGTCTGGGAGGGCTGCTGGAAGGCTGTAGCACTTGAGGAGGAATTTGTCTCCAGGGCATTTTGGTATATTTATCAGTATGTGTGCATTTTTCCTATTTAGATTTTTGGTGGCTGTTATACTGAATTGCAAGCTGAAGTTCTCTAATTGTTGGATCTTTTCATCTTTTGTCTTTATTTTCTCTTTAAGTTGTTTTATTTCATTTAATAAATCTTCATTCTCATATATTTCATCACCATCTTCTGGTTCTTGTACTTGATGGCAATGATAGTTGAATATCATGCCAGGAACCATGTCCTTCATGCTGATGCAGGAGATGTTTCAGTTTGAGTAACTGAGTTTTTACAAAGCTCCAATCTTGAACCATGTGCTGGAGGGTCATCTCATCCAGCATCACTGCATTTTCTGGTACATCTACAAACATTTTCTGAACCTGGAAAAGGGGTGTCTCTCCATAGCTTTCAAAATGACCCAAAGAAGATTCACTATAGGGAGAGCCTCTGCTCAAATTACTTTATCCGTGGTAATCACAGTGGTTAGGATGACTGACGTGGTAGCGTTCCTGTCTACTCAATTTCTAGGGTGGCCTTTTCCAAAATTCTTCCTGAGGCTGTTGAACACTTCTGTCTGGTCAGTCAAAGCAGTTCATATTTTCATGCTCCACATTTTCAAGATGTGTATCATAAGGCCATCATCCTCAAATTCACATGATTCAAGATTATTCAAAATATCTATGTTGTTCATTTCATAGGGCTCGTAACTCCCAATTGGATAGACATTTCCAGTGGGTTCCAAGCCCTCTTCATTCCACATGTATGTTCCATTATAGCTATCAGATGGAGAGTCCAAATGAAGAACCAGCTCTGAAATCTGTGTCTGGTAAAATCAAATTATTCCCAGAAGTATGTTTCATATATTCACTCATATTAGAGACATTTATATCTATTTATCAGTTTCACTGCAAGATTTTTTCATTTTCCTTGAGAGAATCAGATATATTCTGGGGTGTTACCTTTTCATATTTTTCTTCTTTGAGAGAAATTTCCTCTAGAGTTATTCTAGTTCTGTTGAAGTCTTTTACACCTATTAAATATTCTCTGAAGTCTTCACTTAAATCATTCTTATCAGAAGATGACAGAGGAGACAAGGAAATATTATCCACATCATCACTCAGCTATCTATTTTAGCATCATGGTTCATGGTCTCATCATTTTCTGTCCTATAACTTTCATTTTCAGTTAATTCTTGGTCCTCATTAGTAGCTTTATCCTTAGCCAAAACTGTAGCATCATCTTCTACAAATATGTCAGCAGGGGAATTTTTATTTCCATTAATTGTGATCCATCAAAGTCCCAGAAACTTGAGGCCAGCTCGATTTCAGTAGAGAGAGATGAACCATCCAATAACCTAAAGTGAAGGTTGCACCTGGGCCATTGTAAAGCCAATTTCTTTCCACCAGCAGCATAAGACCTAATAAATCCTTATCCCAAATGTTCACTCTAATTTCATACTTCTTACTGCTGATAGTTTCTTGTTAGCATACATGAGTGCAGAGGTACTCTAATGGATAGGTGTTAGTACTTAAAAGACTGTACTGTTAGTACTTATAAGATCTATAGCTCTATTGAAGGAGTGTGATCTGGTTATAGATGAAGGTGCAAGAAATGAACTCTGAATGGAATGTGAACAGTTGTGTGACCTTACCATTTTTTTCACCAGTAATATGCATAATATTGTCTGAGGATTCAGCTAAGCTTTCTCTAGAACTACTTCTAGTAGCACAAGAATTTGCTCTAGGTCTTTGCATGCTATTGAAACTCAGTGGGTTTCTATAAAATCCATTCAATAGTGATTTTGGAGCACTGACTGAAGAGTATGACGTCCTTCCTAATAATGTGCCTTTGATGAATTTACCCAAATTAGATGGTCCAGAAAAAGTCCTTTGGTTTAACTCCTTTGCAGATGACACACAGTGGATGGCTTTGCTAACTTTGATGTGAATAAAGAAACACTTTTCAAATCTCCCTTTATCCTGTTTTTATCAAACATTACTTAAATAGGAACATGTTTTTCAAGATCAATTAATTAATAGTGAATTTTGAGTCTTGTTAGGCTCTTCAGTACCTTCTGTACTAAGTTGGTATTTATTTGCTTTTCTCCAATTAAATGAATGGGTGATGGACAATCAGAGGCATTGTTTATTATGTAACTTTTGATGTTACTACTCTTAGAAGTTCCTAATATATTAACAGGTGTCCCATTTGACATTGGCTGCACTGTGCTTCCGAGAGATTTTGTTCATAACTTGGAATCCAAAAATGCCTTGATCAGTGTTTTTCCATCCATGAGCTATGAGGTGCGTTTTTTCTTAGAATTTAACATAATCTATAGGAGTGAAACACCAACATTCCAATCTAAGATCACAAAGAATCTGTGCATCAGTAATTTCCACACTGCTAAGCTGTAGTCTGGAAACAGCAACCCTAGCTGGACGAGTAGCCTACCAACATGAATTTGCATTTAGTGAAATAGAAACTCAAGCTTAAACAGGAAGGACCGCCTCAAAGGAGTCATTCCTTTTTTAATTTGTCAAGAAAGTAGGTGCATTTAAATACTCATGCGTGTGTACACGCACACACGCACACAGAGATATACACACATATATCTACATACATAGATATATAAAAGAGAAGGAGATTTGAATCCACAGCAACTGTGTGATCCACCAGTTTTATCTCAGGATGTTTCTAGAATGTGTCTTTGTTTTGGCCGGTGCGAGGTGGTGCTGCCTCCTTGGCTGCAGCCCAGCTGCAGGTTGCCTAGCTACCTGCTATTGTTGACTATCATGTTCGGGAGAACATTTGTTCCCGAATTATCATAATGTGATCATAATATGATCTCAATCACAATGTGATCGAGAATAAATGCCAGGAGAACACAGGATTCCATTCTGTTTTTGGTCCGATGCATGTCTTAAGCCTTTTGTCAGATTGATTTCTTTTACAAAGTAAGATTAAGTTAGAGGAATCTTAAGTATGTTTGAATTCAGATTCATGCACTTCATAGCCCTGTAAACTGTTTTTTAGGACTGCTATAACAAGGTGCCACAAGCGGAGTACCTTCAAATAAATGTATTGCCTCATAGTTCTGGAGGCTAAAATTTCAAAAGCAAAGTGTTGGCAAGGTTTGTTCCTTCTGGTGGCAAGGAGGGGGATGTTTTCCGTGCCTCTCTCCTAGTTTCAGGAAGTTGTCGACAATTTTTGGCATTCCTTGGCTGATAGACGCATCATGCCAACCTGTGTCTCTATTACCACAATAGGGTTGTGTTCTCCTCCTGTGTCTATCTGCCTCCAAATTTTCCTCTTCTTATAAGGACAGAAGTCATTAGATTAGGGCTCACCCCAATCCCTCATTGTCTCATTTTAACCTTATTTCATCGGCAAAGAACCTATTTCCCAATAAAGTCACATTCACAGGTACCAAGGGTTAGGTCTTAGACATAGCTTTTTGGAGACACCATTCAGCACATAACACCTGATTTACTTAGCCTCGTTGTACCTCAGGTTTCATGTGTACAGAATTGGGTTAATGATAAAACCTACTCCTTATGGTTGTAAGGAACAAAAGTATATTAGTGTAATCTTCTAGATTTAGTCTCACATATATTAACCTATAATTAACATTAATTTATTTTTCTTCCACTTTCAACTCCAACCCGTCGGTTTACTTTTTATCTCCTTTTGGATTCCCTAGGAACATAATCTCCTGATATCCCGTTCTATTATTTTATTATATAAACAATCAATGTATTCTTTATACCCAACCAAAATTTCTTGAAGCTTAGATAACCTCTTTGTATAGGTAGAATTGCTTTCAGTGAGTATGAGGTACATCAATGTTATCATGGAGTATCACATTCAAATTGATAAATATTGTCTAGCTAATTGTTTAAATTTGTGTAAATGGAATATTTATGATGTATTAGATTTTAAAATAATGCAAACATGGTTGGGTATGTATGATTATGTTGAGTGAAAGGATATGTGTATCATCTGAACCAAGAAGCATCTCTTCTTTTCCATTGTAATTTGATTCTGATTGGAGTACTTCATAAATACAATTCTAATTTTCATTTTGCAGTCCTTGAGAATTTAATAATTTGTTGCAAGTATATTGCTAATAGTTTTAGTTTTGCAATGTGTTCAACTTAGAGCATATTATGTAAGAATCAATTGCTTGTTTTTTAACTTCTAATTTTGAAATAATTTTAAATCTTTAAAAATGTTATTAAAAAGTAGAACTTAAAGTATAATAAAAAAAGAAAAAAGTAAAGCTTCAGCACAAATAGTAGTAAACGAAATAATTGGAAAAACAGTGTTAAGCCCTTTTTAATTATTTAAATTAATTAAATCAGACTTTCTGCTAAAAAAAAAAAGTTATGAAAAGAATAGAGTGCTTACATGTAGGCTTCACCTGGCTTTCTCTGACATTAACCTCTTCATGACTACTGCAATAGTCACAACTAAGAAATTAATGTTGGCACAGTACTATTAAGTAATTATGCAATTAGCTCGGATACCACCAGCTTTTCTTTTACAGTATTGTGTGTCTGTCCTAGGATCCAATTCAGAATTCCTCATAGGATTTATTCATGTCACTTCAGTGTCCTCCAAATCACGGTTCCTCAAGCCTTTTCTTGTTTTTCATGACTTTGCTATTTCTTAATACTAGTAATTTTTTTGTTAAATATCTGTGAATTTTGGTTTATCTGATGTTTTCTCATTAAACTGAGATCATGCACTTTTGACAAAAATGCTGTAGAAGTGATATACCCAATGTAGTGTATCATGTCAGGAATTATGATTTTCATGTTTTATTATTGGTGATATAAATATTATTTAGGATGGTGTCTACCAGCATTCTCTACCATAAAGGTACCACGGTTTCCTTTAGAATTAATAAATATTTTGTGAAGATACTTGGAGACGTTGTAAATATCCTCTCTGTTCATCAATGGATTTTGCCTGCAGTGATTATTGTTGTGATTTTCTAATGATGACTTTCTTTTCCCTAATTCCTTCTACATTTATTAATTGTACATACTTTTCAGGGAGGAGCTATCCCTTCTCCTTCATTTATTTACATATTCAGTTATTCATTTATATCCATATGTGCATATTTCAAAATCTGAGTTAGTATGTGGAGTGACAGAGGTCATAAGGTTACTGATTTCAGTTTATATTGTTACTGGAAACAAACATCAAAACAAAAAATATGTGCAGTAGAAATAATATGAATCTTTTAAGGAGCATCTTTAATGAGCTAGATGTGATAAATTAAACCTTAAATAATTCATTTAATGATATTAGTTACACACAATAAAGTTACACTTAAAAAGATGCCTTTATTTTAATGTATTTCATTAAATCCAAGAGGTTTATTGCTGAGCTCTCTGGAAAATGATTAATAGAGGGCTCATCTTAAGGAATAAAAGAGATATCTTCTTATAATTAAATCTTGCAGAGTGTGGAGGAGAGAGGGACGTATCAAGCTTTTACACTCTTCCATAGAACCTACTTCACCCAGTGAGTAGATTAGATACAGTGAGGTCAAAAGAAATATTGGGGAATATATGACCCACTAGAAACTGCTTACTATGGAGCCCTTGCTCTCAATATGTTACCTGAAACTTCAGAAATCAGACCCTTCTAGAGGCTCTCAGTTAATTCTTGATTTATCTCTGTTTCCACTAGTACTAATTTGATCTTTGAAATGGAAAGTATTGAAAGTATTACAATGTTCAGGGCCTTCATAGATGTATTCAAAATAATGAAATACTAAGAAAAAATGATTAAATTATTTGATATCTTCCTAGTTAGAATGAAAGTCAAATTGTATAATAGTAACATAAAGGTAATACTTTACGTTTGCCAAGGCAATCTCAGATTTTCTAATGAACAATGCCATGAAGGATACATGATAATCTTACACTAATGTACTATTACAATACTTAGAAAATCTTTTATGGTTATTCTAAAATTATTTTCAGAGTAAAAATTTTATAAAGTAGAAAACTGGTTTCTATTGTCTGAACAATCATGACAAACTCATTCTAGGAATTGCAACTCTAAATTGTCTGATAAAGTGGTTTATCATTATTATTACATGTTACTAAGTGGACACAATTTTGAGATATTCTACAATCTTTTAGTCCAACATGTTTTGTTTTTAATTCATTTTAAAAATTTTAGGGTATTTTTGGATTTACACGAAAAATGCAGAGATATTACAGAGAGTTCCCATATACCCTTACCCAGTTTCCGCTATTGTTAACATATTACATTGCTATGGTTCATTGTCACCACTAAGGAATCAAGATTAATATAATGTATTATTAATTAAATCACAGTTTATTCAGATTTCACTAGTTTTTACCCAGTATCTTTTTTCTGTTCCATGATCTCATCCACGATCCCACATTATATTTAGTTATTATGTCTCTTTAATATCCTTTGTTTCATGACAGTTTCTTAGGCTTCACTTGCTTTTGATGACCTTGAGAGTTTTAAGGGATATGGTTTAGACAGTTTGGAGAATGGTCCTCAGGTTGACTGTCTTATTTTTTTAATGGTTAAACTAGGGTTATGAGTTATTTGGAGGATGACTACAGAGGTGAAGTACCATTCTTATCACATTATATCAGGGGTAAATGTTACCAACGTGACTATGAACATGAAGATATTAACCTTGGTTATCTGTTTGAGATAGTGTTCATTTGCCTGTACTTTGATTGGGACTTTATCAATTCAACACATAGATTTGGAAATAACTGACATCTTAATAATCTTGGGTCTTCCAATCCATGAAAATGACAACCCCTTTAATTTATTTGGCCCTTTAATTTTTCTCAGTTCTAGTTTGGAGTTTTCAATGTAGAGATACTGAACATTAAATATATTCATAGAAATTCGATTTTTATGCTGTTGTAAATAATATGTAAGAATTAATTTTCTAATCATTTGTAGCAAGTGCATAGAATAAAACCGTTTTTGTATATTCACTTTGTATTCAATGACCTTGCTAAATTGACTTGTTAGTAAAAATATATTAATACCTGGTAGACTATTGAGATTGAGAACATTTTTATTCATATTTTTGCTTATTGAATACCTTCTTTGAAAAAATTGCTGAGATATGATTGACATACAAAAAGCTGTACATATTTAATGTATACAAATGATGACTTTAGAAATAAGTATACATCTGTGAAATTATCACCACAATCAATTTCACGAATGTATCTATCATTTCCAAAAATTTCCTCCCCCTCTCTTTTTTATTATTTTTGTGATAAGAATACAACATAAGATTTAATCTCTTACCAAATGTTTAAGTATATGATACAGTACTGTTAAATATAGGGACTATTATCTACAGTAGATTTCTAGGATTTATTCACCTTGTGTAATTGAAGTTTTGCACTTTTTGATCAACACCTACCTGTTTTCCCCTCCCCTCAGCTTCTTGCACCTGCTATTTTGCTCTCTGTTTCTATGGGTTTGACTGTTTTAGATTCCACATGTAAGTAGAATCATGTAGTAATTGTCCTTCTTATCCTGACTTTCTTCAGTTGTAAAATGTCATTCAGATTCATCCATATTGTCACAAATGATAGTATTTCTGTCTTTTAAAGAATTGAATAATGTGCCATTTATGTAAATAGCACATTTTCTTTTCCCTTTCATCCATCAATGGACATTTAGGTTGCTTCCATATTTTGGCTATTGTATATAATACTGCAGTGAACATAGGAGCAGGTATCTCTTCAAGATATGTATCTTCAAGATGAAATTAAATCTTTTATATATATATATACACACACACACACACATATATACATATATATATATATATATATATATATATATATATATATATATATATATATATATATATCTCCAGAAGTAGCATCTCTGGATCATATAGTAGCTCTATTTTCAATTTTTTGAATACTCTCCATACTGTTTCCATAGTGGCTGAACCAATTTACACTTCCACAAACAGTGTGCGAGGATTTCCTTTATATCCTCAGCAACATTTTTTTACAATAGTTATCTTAACAGCTATGATTTGATATCTCACTGTGGTTTTGATTTAAACTTTCCTGATGATTAGTAATGTGGAAACCCTTTTTACATACCTGTTGGTCATTCGTATGCTTTCCTTAGAGAAGCATCTATTGAAATTCTTTACCTAGTTTTAAATTGTGATTATTTTTGCTACTCAGTTATAGGAGTCCCTTTTGTATTTTAGATATTAACTCCTTTTTTGGCTTGCAAATATTTTCTCTTATTTCATAGGTTGTCTCTTTACTCTGTTGATTCCTTTGCTGTGCAAAAGCATTTTGGTTTCATGTAATTACACAGGCATTTTTGCTGTAATTGCCTGTGCTTTTGTTATCATGTTCAAGAAACTGTTGCAAAGGCTAATGTAGAGTAGCATTTTTCCCATGTTTTCTTCTAGGAATTTTACAATTTTATGTCTTACATTTAAGTTTTTAATCCATATTCGAGTTGATTTTTTGTGTATGGTATAAGTGTCCAATTTCACCCTTTTGCCTGTAGGCATTCAGTTTTCTCCACCAGTGTTTGTTGATGAGACTATTCTTTCCCCATTGTGTATTCTTGGCTTCCTAGTAGAAGGTAAGTTGACTGTATATGCAAGAGTTTATTTCTGGGCTCTCTATTCTGTTTCATTGGACTATATATCTGCCAATTTAAATATAAATATGTACTTTTTCATAAATATTTTGTAATTACCAGTACAGCATTCTGTGCATGTTTTTTTTTCCTGTGGGGGTAATTTTGTAAAAGAATACTCTGTACACACACACACACACACACACACACACACACACAGAAATGGATATTGTGTTTCTTCCTTAGTCAGTGTTATTATTTTGATGTCTCTAGGAACCATAGTGGTATTCTCTCTCTCATTCCAAATATTGTCAGTTTTTAGTTTTTCTCTATTCTCTCGATGAGTCTTGATGTAGACTTATCAAGTTTAATATCTTTTTACCAATAACTAAATCCTGACATTTCAAATTTTTGTTGCCTTTTACTATTTCATTGATTTCTTATGTCTATTACGTTATTTCTTCTACTTACTTTGCATATTTTGGCCATCTTTTCTAGTGTCTTGCAGTTGAAACATAAATCACTGTTATTAAACATATCTCTTTTCTTATACAAGCTTTTAAATCTAATATTCTCTCATAGTTCTGCTGTAACTGAATTTTACCATTATTAATATGTTAAATTTTCTTGTCACTTAATTTAAAATATTTTCTTATTTCCCTTTACATTTTTTTTGTCTTACAGGTTATTTAGAAGTTGTTTTTATTTTTTTAATTCTCGAATATTGGAGATTTTTTAGCTCTCCTAATGCTATTGACACCTAACTTATCTCCATTGTAGTCATACATCAGGCTACATAATTTCAATTTTTGGAAATATGTGGAAATTTATTTTATGATTTGGTCAATATTGGTTAATATTACTTATCATGTGAAAAGAATATGTATTTTAAAGTTGTTGGTTTAAGTTCTATAAATATTCACTCACGCAAAGTTGATTTATAGAACTGTTGACATCTTCTATATCCTTCTTGATTCTTCTGGACTACCTTTAAAATTACTAAAGGAAATCAATATGTTTTATACTCTGTTTCCATAGATATATGTAATTGTTTTAGCTGACAGGTTTATTTTTGTCCAAAACTTGTCTGCATGTCTGATAATTAAAAGTTTGTGTAAGGAGTTCAGCTCAGAAATTTGTTTTTTCTCTAATTTTGTATAACTTTAATCCAAACTCTAATCTATTCAGGGATTCATGATGTATACAAGATTACAGAAAAATGTTTTGAAGTCTGAATTTACAAAGAACTTTTCTCCTTCGTAAAGAATTTATTTTGGTTCTACTTTCATGTTTAGAGATTGGTGTCAATAGAGGAACTAAATCAGATATGACTGTTTAAGAGTAAGTGTTGCTGGAGGTCTGAGGCTACATTGATATGACTGCTCAAACACATTTTCCTGCCCTGGAAAACATTAGTATTGTAGCCACATATGTGGCTAATATAAAATTGGTTTGTGTAGTCTGGGTTTAGTGTGTTTACTTCTGTTTCCTCTCATACCCAAAAGTCTTTTTCTCTTAAGGTCTAAAACAGAAAGGCAATGTAGTTTTGAAGTGTGTTGCCATAAATATGCACTTTCTATATGTCTAGTCTTGTTTATACAATCCTCACAACAACCTTATTGGGTGGATAAACAATTCTGCAGTTGCAATTGAGAAACGAAAGCTCACAAATGTTAAGTAACTTACCTCAATTCCCACAGCTAATTCTAGAAGTCATTTATTTGTGCATCACCAGAGTTTTTTGGATGATGGTGAAAAGAAAATTTGAAAAATAAGTTACTCTTGATGATGTCTTGGCTAATTGAATAAAAAGCCACAAATATTTTTGAACTTAAGGGAAATTGAAAATGCCTAAAAGACAGAGAAAAGCTTCTATTTCTTTCTGAATATTTTAGGTTCACATTATTCTGAACACAGATCAAGTCACAGCTTCTAACTCTTTAATTAGTATGTGTGAGTGCACACACATGCAGGTTTGTGTATGTGGTTGGTTGAGTTTGGACTGATATTATTTCAAAGGAACATATTCTTTGAACCTTAAAAGAAACAACAGCAAATATTTCAGAAGAAACCCTTCAGTTTTTTTATGTGGCTAATGCTCTGTGATAATAATAAGAATCATCTGCCAGCACCAAATAAAAGTAACTACAACTTTTCAGACCAGAAGTCAGAAAATAAGCAAAACATGGGAAATCCTTCTCTTTGTTAAAAGAAGGATCATGCTCGGTTGCATTTCCCCATCAACCCCTTTGCAAGAGAGCTGGCTAGCTTCAGTTTTATTAGTACCATTAATAACCATGGCATGTCAGACAGGCTCTCAGCTATAGGCTAATCTCCTGGGTGACTGGATACCTATATTTTTAGAAAGCTGTGAATGCTGCTTTAATTATTTAGAAGTTAGTTGGCTCACATAAATCTATTACACTTGCACAAAGCTTCAACATTTGTTCCTAAGTGTATCTTAATGTCAAATTTATTCATCAATGCTTGAATTACTCTAATCAAGAATTTGTTCAGTAAAAATTTCTATCCTAAAAAAGTAGATTATTTTCTCTTGTTAAGTGCCATTAAAAATCAGGAATAAAATGTTATTCTCAGCAGCTAAGCACTAATTTTAACCTCATCTGATATTATCTACTGTCACATATTAATAGAAAATATTAAAATTCTGTATTCTAATTCTGTGCATCTATAGAATTGATCAAATTGTATATTTTCAAATATGCCAAATATTGTAACTTCCATGTTCCAAAGACAAATGTGATCAATGTCTCATGTATATATGTATAGTTATAATCTTAGCATTCTTTTAGAATGCTGCAATAATTCTGGGGAAATTAAAGGTATTTATGAAAATAGCAACTGCTAAATTAAGTAGCTATTGAATGGTTACAATTGATCCATCAGCAATTATTTAGTAAATAACTAAAATTAAGAACACGACGTGTTTTTTTGAAATTATATTACATTGAAATGTCACATTAAGTTATTCTTTCATTTATATGTGTGATAGTTTTAGACCATGATGTGGGTCTTGCAGCTTTGCTTATTCCAGTCCTAGACTTATGAGGTACACCAGATGTTGTGGAAATATAAGGACCCATCCCCACTGTGCCTTTTTCTGAATTATCTAATCCACAGTGGTTTTAAGTATAACATGATTTTGTTTTATAATATGTAGACTTAGAGCCTTTAAAAATTTATTCAGCAACATGTAACTGGAATTTCATGCCTTTTCATTTTGCCATTTTTCTCTATTTCTACTTCTAGTGATTTTTTTCTGGACATAAAGAAAATGTGGTACTTATACACAATGGAGTACTATTCAGCCATAAAAAAGAATGAGATCCTGTCATTTGCAACAACATAACTTCGGTTTTAAATAAATGTCTATAGTCTGTCTAGAGTCTAGAGGTCTCCATGCATTTAGAGTTAGTCTTTAGGGATATATTATCCATAATGCTCTGTGAAGGTGAATTTTCTAAAACCAAAGGTGGATCAAACCAAGCCCCTTATTAAATTCTTTCAAGGACTCCCCATTGTTCAAGAGATCTATTATAGAACGTGGTGATTACAGTTAATAATAGAGTGTATTCTTGAAAAATGCAGTGAGAGTGGATGTAAAGAGCTCTCATGACAAAAATGATAACTATGTGAGGTCATGCATATGTTGATTGGCTAGATTTCGTCATTCCACAATGTATAAATGCTTCAAAACAACTTTTACATGGTAAATACAATGTTGTCCATTTAAAAGAATAAAAATGAGTAAATGTTACAAATTTATAAAAATAAAAATTAAAAAATAGGCCTGGCGCAGTGGCTCATGCCCGTAATCCAAACACTTTGGGAGGCCGAGGTGGGCTGATCACCAGGTCAGGAGATCGAGACCATCCTGGCTAACATGGTGAAACCCTGTCTCTACTAAAAATACAAAAAAATTAGCTGGGCATGGTGGTGGGTGCCTGTAGTCCCAGCTATTCGGCAGGCTGAGGCTGGAGAATGGCGTGAACCCGGGAGGTGGAGCTTGCAGTGAGCCGAGATGGCGCCACTGCACTCCAGCCTGGGCGACAGAGAGACTCCGTCTCAGTAAATAAATAAATAAAAGAAAAAAATTTTAAAAATAGATACCATCCTCTACAGAGAATTGACAGCATCGGGGATTGGGGTTATTAGATAATGTCCAAGTATATGCAGATTTTCTGAAGATTTTCTTTCTTAGAAGGGATAAAAGATGAAGTTCCAGCTACCTTCAAAAATATACCCCACAACAAAGCCTTGCTTAATATAGCAAGTAGCCTGAGGAGCCTGGCTTCCTTGGTTCAAACCTGAGTATGTTGGCTCCAGACAGAAGTTCCCTAGAAGGCAAATAAGTCAGACAGACCGACCAATCACTGAATCTGACCAATCACTGAATCTGACAGCTTTACTATGATGACTCTCATGATTTCTAGTATATGTATCCCTGCCAGCATTACTCTGGCCTTCAGAGTCTATTTGATGTGTGAAGCTGCATTTTCCCCTTACCTTCACCTAGACAGGAGGGATAGACTCAGGAATTCCACCTAATACTCCTTTTGGCCCTGGATATCCTCCTTGAACTGACTTTCTGTGTCTGCTGGAAAACTCGGCCTAAGTCCCGCTTAATATGTGGGGATCACACTAAATTCCTGTATGTGCCCAGAAGCTTCAGGATCCCTACAGTCCATCCTATCAGCTTTTAACTGTATAGATATATACAGTTATATATAGCTTTATATATATACAGTTATGTATAGCTTTATATATATACAGTTATATATAGATATACAGCTTTACCCTCACCTGGACCCTGGGTTAGCCTGATGGCTGGTACTGATTTAACTATTCGTAGTGGGTCTTTTTGCCCCTCACCCTCTTCTTCCCCAACAGACTGAAAACATTAAAATAATTTCCTTATCTTTTCAAGGGAGCTACCTGTGCTCTTCCTGTTCGCACTCAGCACTAAGAAACTCTCAGAACCACACTGAATCTGTACTTGTGATGAGCTTCAGAGATCCTAGAATCCAAGCCGTCTGGGGATAGTGTTGATGGACAGGCCTGGGGCTGAGACTGAGGTTCTATGTCCAGGTGAATATTTTGTGTCATCAGGAAACTGCTCTTTAAAGCATGGCAGTCCTATATCTTGGACAGTCAGCATGCTAGTGGTATAAGTAATTCCTTGCTTACTGAAGCCACAGACCATGCAGATCCCCATCTACCTTATTGGGATTTGACAGGTCATTAGTTCATACATGTCTTCCCACTGCTGTTGAAGAGCAGGAGACTCTTTGGAGTTGATTCTTTGTCCCCTTATTATCTCTTTGGCCCTGAAATTAATAAATGTATGACTAACCTTTTTTTTTGTTTTTCTTTTCGTAGAGAAGAAACTCGGATGTTCTTGGAGACATGGCTGCCCTGGAATTTGGTAAACTCACATCCTTTGAGGCAAGGTGAGGATATCTCTTAGTTTTTTGAGTTTTATGCAGAATTCCCAGGAAGTTTTGCTAACTTGTTGTCTTATACCAGAAACCTCCTTTGCTCATAACTTCCTTTTCTGTATAATAGTTTTGCTTTAAATGCAATAATTTGGATCAGAATTTATTCATGTCATCACTATTGACATTTTGCAACAGATATTTTTTCTTTCTCTTTCTCTCTCTCTCTCTGCAAGGCTTTTTAATGGAATGTAAAACATTTACTGTCATCCCTGGTAAACATAAACTAAATGACATAGCACTCCCTATCTCCCTGTTGTGACAACCAACAGAGCCCCAAGACATTGTCAAATGTTCTCCAGGGGGCCAAATTGTACTGTTTCAGAACCACTGACTCTGATATAGACATCTGCTCCCTGCTGAATTTCTTTCAAAGTTTCTATTTTTACACACACACAAAATATTTAATGAGGATCATAAGTTATATAAAAATACTGTAAGGGTGACAGTGAGAGGCTCATAGTACATTCCTTGCCGAACAATGGAAAGGTTACCTCTTTGCCATTGTTTTGCTCCCAAGTCCTTTTTGTGCCGCTCTCTGCCTCAGAGAGAAGTCATCTCTTCCCTGCTTCTCCTATGTAAAATTCCATGCTGCTGGTCCTTTCTTTCCTCTCTCCAAGTTCCCATCTTCCCTCCAACAGTTTAAACTCTTCTTGCTTTGTATCATATAGAGCAACTGGGCTTTCCGTACTCCTTACTTCAGCCTAACACATAACTCATCTGGAGGAGTGGAGATGTCCTGCTTTTAACATAGTTCTTCCACCTGCTAGAAAAAGCATTTGGAGTTATGTGTCATAAAACAACACACCTTTGTTTTTAATCATACCACAGCTTATTCTCTTTATTAAGGTTTTCTGATTTTTAAAATGTATTTTCTAGCTTTTCACTGAAATTGCTTTTGATCGACCTTTCCATATTTTTAAAAGCAAATAATACAGTCACTTATATTGATTACATGTTTATATTTGCATTTGTATGTATATTTGTGTGTATTATTTTCTCATGTTAGGAAGACATAACACAGTTATAATTCTAGTGGGATTTTTTTTTTTTTTTTTGAGATGGAGTCTTGTTCTGTAACCCAGGCTGGAGTGCAGTGGCACCATCTCTGCTCACTGCAAACTCCGCCCTTCCAGGTTCACGCCATTCTCCCGCCTCTGCCTCCTGAGAAGCTGGGACTACAGGCACCCGCCACCATGGTGGCTAATTTTTTGTATTTTTAGTAGAGATGGGGTTTCACCGTGTTAGCCAGGATGGTCTTGATCTTCTGACCTTGTGATCCACCTGCCTTGGCCTCCCAAAGTGCTGGGATTACAGGCGTGAGCCACCGCGCCCGGCCAGTTTTTTTTATTTTTTTTTATTTTTTTTTTTATTAAGAGTATAAAATGCTGAAGTTAAGCACTGCATCATTTCCTTACCATATTTTCACACATTGTACTGCTGATTAAATTAATAAGCCCTGGCTCAGGACACACAGCCTTCTCCCACCCAGGTGGTGATGCTTTACCAGAACAGGCAGCTCTTTTATTTGCCTTTTTTGTTTTGTTTTGTTTACTATATCAACAGCTTCTCCATTATCTCCCTTCTTCACAGAACGTATACTTTAAGCCACATCCTTCTTTCAGTTCTTCCTTGATTTCAGTAGAATTCTCTGTTTTAAAACATTTCTTCACAGATTCTAGCATCTCTCATTCTTTGATATGACATTTCAGAATAACAGTGATGAAAAGATAATATTTAAAGTGTAAGGACAAAAAACACACTTATTTTATAAATCAGGGATACTCAGATCAATAGTTACTAAGTCATAATAACATAAATACAGAAAGTAAATTCAAGCTAAATTAAAATATAATTATTTTTTAATGATTGTTTGATAAAAATGGCACTGGCTATGACTGCCAAGTCCTCATTGCCTACTGTAAGAAGTCAAATTAAATGTTTATAATTAATAAATCACCAAATAATAATACAGGTAGTATTCTAAAACATAATGGTCAATAATAAATAGAACAGCAAACAGATTCCTAAAGTTCAAGCTCAAACATATAGCTAATTGTTACACTTAATAAACAGATAAGGAAATAGCCTACCATAAGTAAGAGTGTGCGTGTGCGTGTGTGCGTGTGTTACAGCTTCTCTTAAGAAGCTATGAAAAAAAGCATAAGATGTACACAGAGTGCAGATAGTGAACAATTAAGAAATAGTATGCAAGACCAATATATTTAAGTTTGAAGTGTATGAAGAAATGAAATATCAAAATGACATAATATTTTAAAGGAAATAATGCAATCACTAAAATATAAAATTCAATTATGCATTCAATGATAGAAAAGCTACATTTACGAGAAAAGTAGTAAATTTTGAGAGGGGTATGAGGTGGTAAGAGTGCATTATAAAATAAATTTTAAAAAAAGAATACAGCTCAGAGAGACAGATTCTGAAACTATGAGAGAAGTGAAGATAAATTGATTACCAAAGGAGAAGCACTAACACTATTTAATTGAATATGTAACCAGAGAAAGAATAGAATGAGGATGAAAGAAACAATCTGAGACTGCTTTCAGAATTGGCTAGAAACCATCCTCTGCTTTAAGGAGCACAATGAATTCTTAAAATTATTTATTTTATTTATTTATTTATTTATTTATTTATTTATTTATTTTTAGACAGATCTTGCTTTGTTGCCCAGGCTGGAGTGCAGTGGCACAACTTTGGCTCACTGAAACCTCTGCCTCCTGGGTACAAGTGATTCTCCTGCCTCAGCCTCCCAGGTATCTGGGATTATAGGCAGGCACCACCATGCCCAGCTAATTTTTGTATTTTTAGTAGAGATGGGGTTTCTCCAGGCTGGCTAGGCTGGTCTCGAACTCCTGACCTCAGGTGATCTGCCCCCCCCCCCCCCCCCACCCCTCGGCCTCCCAAAGTGCTGGGATTGCAGGCGTGAGCCACTGTGCCTGGCCTTAAAATTCTTAAATCTATTTCTAGTGACATCATCATGAACCAAAGTATAAAAAAGCAAAAGAGAAAACTTCAAAGCAATTGCAACACTGAAAACAAAAAGACATTCTGCCTTCTTCAGAAAGCTAACTGTACGTGATTTTTCAATTACAATTGTGTAACAACAGCAAAAAAATCCTTTCAAGAGTGAAAGATGTATTCTGGGAAGTCAGCAGTGATGGTAAGGTTTAAGATTTTCCAGTTAACTCTTTTTTTTTTTGAGACAGAGTCTTGCTCTCTTGTTGCCCAGGCTGGAGTGCAGTGGTGCGATCTCAGCTCACCGCAACCTCTACCTTCTGGTTTCAAGATTCTCCTACCTCAGCCTCCTGAGTAGCTGGGACTACAGGCATGCACCACCACACCTGGCTAATTTTGTATTTTTTTTTAGTAGAGATGGGGTTTCTCCATGTTGGTCAGGCTGGTCTCAAACTCCCGACTTCAGTGATCTGCCTGCCTCTGCCTCCCAAAGTGCTGGGATTACAGGTGTGAGCCACCATGCCTGGCCCCACTTAACTCTTAATGAGTTTGCAACAGTCTGGGGCTGCATAAAAGTCAACCAAGCTGTTGTACTTGCAGGTGATATCATACAGCCAGGCCCTGCTGAGCTCTACAGCTTTCTCTGATGTTCTGCAGTCCAGGGTCACAGGACACAACACTCCAGACCACACTGACTGCTTTTGTTGAGTTTCTACTTCACTTTTGATGACTAATCTACTTCCTGTTAGCATCTGACAGGTCTCAAAAAGAACAGTATTAATCTGGTGGGAAGTGTGTGGGAGCAGGAAGCTACCTCTAGAAGAAACGTTATCATAATTCTCAAGCTTATTTCTCCAACAAAAAAAAGTTTGATTAACTTTGAAAGTGAAAAAATGTGAGGCAACTGTAATCATAAATCCAATCAGTTCTTACCAATCTGGCTTTCCCCCCAACCCACAATAATTACGCATACCATTATCATGTTGTTCAGTATTATGAAACTACTGGTTAACCTGGCCTATTGGAATACTTAACTACAAATAGAAGCCTCTAGGTATCTTTTTCTCTTCAAGTGTGAAATATTTCATCTACATTTTGAATGTCTGCAAAGAAAACTCTTTTCGGGGCAATTCTAAGGGTCTGGTTGTTGGAAGCATCAAATATTTGAAAGGAATAAGAAGGCTTTGACTTCATAATTGTATTTGTAGCTTTGTGGACCCAGCATGATATTTAACACCATGATGTTGCAACAATCACTGTTTTTACTGAGCAGTGACTGGTGAAATGTATGTTGCTTTTTGTTTTGTGTTTCAGTTATTTTTCTACCAATAGTTACATGAAGTTTCTTTTTTTTTCCTTTACTTGTTTATTAAATACATGACAAAGTTGAGAAGCACATTACCAGGATAAATTGTACTGACCCTCCTGTCTCTCTTCTTCACTAATTAATTTTTGGTTTGGTTAGAAGACAGGAGGGTCTTAAGATCACTGTGATTATCATGAGTTAGGTTTGTAAATGTCATGGTGAAAAAATATTAATATCTCAAAACGTCTATTTTTAAAATTGATCTCATGGCTTAACAAGCCCACTTAGTGGAATATTTTCCACCATTATTTAACCACTAATGATTCTGAAAGTATTTTATATCCACATGATCTTAGACCTTCTCTTAATGATTGTATAAACTTACAAACGCAAGACTATCTTGGAGGACACTGAATATTGATGTGTGTAGCAAAGTATTTACTTTCTTTAAATAACCAGCTCGGTGATAGTTCTCTATGTTTCTAGCAGTCTGTGTAATTCTGTTTCTTCAGAGGAATATTTTTCACATTGATACAGGAGAGAGGCAGGGAAGTGCTGAGTAGAGAAGGGCAGGGTGCCTGGCAAGGGTTCCACCCTCTGGCCTGGGCCCATGGACCTAAGTGAGGACAGGCACTCTTGCTTTCATGCCTAAATGTTACATTTTCCAAAACCACTCTGGCCTGCCATGCCCCCCATCCTGTGCCTATACAAACCCGGAGACCCTAGTGGACACACACACAAGTGGCTGGATGTCGAGAGGAACACACTGGCAGAAGAACACACCAACAGACACCTGCAGGCCATTGACTGGAACAATGTGGACACCGATTGAAATTCAGCCAAGGGTGGTGGGAGGAGATCCCAGCCACTGAGAGGCCCAACTCCAGGGGAAGACTGCCTTCCCACTCCATCCCCCTTCTGGCTCCCCATTAGTCTGCTGAGAGCTACTTCCACCACTCAATAAAACTTTGCACTCATTCTCTAAGCCCACGTGTGATCCGATTTTTCTGGTACACTAGAGCAAGAACCCCGGGATAAAGAAACACTTCTTTCCTTGCAATAAGGCAGAGGCTCTAAATGAGCTGATTAGCATAAGCTGCCTGCAGATGGCTAAGCTGAAAGAGGACACTGTAACACACGCCCACTGGGGTTTCGAGAGCTGTAACATTCAGCCCTAAATGCTGCCATGGGGTCGGAGCCCATGGTCCTCAAGACCCGCCCGCCTACATGCTGCCCTTAGGGGCTGGAGCTGTGGGGCACTGAAACAGCCAGTCACAGCCCCATCACATGCCCGGCAAGGGGGTAAGGGAACTTTTCTTGTTTCAACATTTCTTTTTTATTTTTGTTTTTAGGGTGATAAGATATCTTTCTTTCTGTACCCCTTTTCTCCTAAAATCAATGCAGGTGAGGTGGGTGAGTAAGGAGTGTTATTTTTAAATAGCCTGTTAGGTATACTTGGGTGAGTGGGACGGTTGTAAGTATATTTTTATGAATCTTGCTTAATACTGATCATTAGCTCTCAAGCCCAGTCAGCAAAATGCTTTCATTTTTAACTGTAGAACAATGACCCAGCTGAATTTTTATTTTTTCTATTTAAGAAAAGTAAGCACAGAATTAGGAGTATTAAAATGGGCATGTGGCCTCATGTTAAAATGACTAAATCTCCTAATTTGTAGTTGTCCAAGACAGTCAAGATAAGAGGGAACATGCACTATCAGATTAACTCTCCTTGGACACAGCAACCGTGCTACAAGCCAGTCTGCCCTGTTGACTGACATATTTCTGTTTTTGTGTGTGCTAAGTTCCCTCGTACTTGTTTCCATTGTACTGACTGCCTTTGACACTTGTAAATAGGAAATTGCTGTAATAATGTTAATCCCATCAATTCAGTGAATGGGTGGAAGGAAGATTTTCCCCCAAACCTTTAGGCAAAAGTTGGTTTTAGTTTGTTTTTCTCTTTTGGCTTTCACTTGAATCTGAAATGTTACCATTGCGGGCCACATTTGACATGTGACAGGCAAGGAGCAGGTGAACAATCAATGGAAAAGTGTTGTGTTTTTTTTTTTTTTTTTAAATACTCCTGTGTTAGCTAACAGACTTCTGACCACGTCACTGCCGTTCACAGAGAAGGCTGAAGAAGGTAGCGAGCAGATGCTGTATCAGCTACTACAGCCTTAAAACAAAGTTGGTGTCTCTTTGGATTTTAAAATTGTTCCTGTGCTGCTTATTTTATTTCTGTTTAACCAAGTAAACAGGATAATTTTTCCATAGAGAAGAAAAAAAATGATTTCCTACTTAAAGAAAGGGAATTAGATTAAATCAATCACAACAGGACTATGAGTTTCCAAAATACAACTATAGAAAAAAGTACCAGTACTCACAAGCCATGCACATGTCCATGTGAGAAGAAGCAGAGGACTGCCACCAGCCCCCAAGGGACCTAAGAACAAGAGGAGAACAGAAATCAACAGGTGTTCACTGAAAACAGTGACAGGTTACAGTGATAGGCACTGATCTCATCACAATGAAAGATGGGGAAAAAGTATCAATTAAAGTAAGGAAGAAAATACTACAAGAGATATATAGGTGTTATCGACATGAGAATAATAGATTTTATCTAAGTGGAAAGTGTAACAATAAAATAAAGTGTTAAAAAGAGATGTTCTAGGAAAATTCTTATGAAAGACAAGAGAAGTCAACCTTACAGATCAAATGATGTAAATATGAATATTGCCCAGGAATAACTGCCCTTGAGTCAGTTTTGAAGTGGCATCATTATCGAATGTGAATCATTAAGAAAGAAATGTACAGGCATCCAGCAGAATGAGAAACTTGTATAACAACGGGATTATCAGAAATACATTCATGAACAATTAATTCTGGAAACCAATAAAGCCAGGTTTAAAAATGTATGAGGAAAGGGTATATGAACATTATTCTCAATCAAATTTTCCAAGTGTCAAGACTGTGAGACAGCATTTGGAAATATTGCAACTCACGTGTTTCCATATTGAGAAAAAAATAGTAGAGTGTAAAACTCAGCTAACAAACTGTGTTATCAAAGCAAAAACATCAGAAGTAGAATAGCTGTGGAAAAGAGACAGAAAAGATCATGTAAGTTTCAACACTGTGAAGATGTTAATTTTTGCAAAGTATATCTCTAAATTTAATGTATTCTCAAACTACCAACAGACATCAGTGTGTTCACGTGTGTCTTGAGACACATGAAATAGAAAATGCTATTTTTTCTCTTTTTTATGGTAGTTGCGTTATTCATAACAGCTAAATACTTGAACCAACAAAAATATTCGTCAACTGATAAATGACTAAATAAATGTGGTATATCCATACAATGGAATATTATTCAGATATAAAAATGAATTAATACTAATACATGCTACAATATGAATAAACATTGAAAACATTATGTTAAGTGAATGAAGCCAGACATAGAAGGCCACATATTGCATAATTCCATTTTATAGGAAATGTTCCAAATAGGCAAATCTGTAAAGAATAAGCCTACTATTGGTTTCCAGGGACTGGGGGTGAAAAATGACTGCTTATGGATACAGAGAGTTTTTGGGAAGTTGATGAAAATGTTTGGGAATTAGATGGGTGATGGTTGCACAAGTTTGTTAATTTACTATAAACCACTGAATTATCCACCTTAAAATGGTGATTTCTATGGTATAATAGTTATATCTCAATTTTAAAGTTGTATAAGATTTAAAAAGTCCTAGATTAATTCAGTATGAGCAGATAAATGAGAAGAAAGGGGATAGAAAGGAGAATAAAATTGGCTGGCCATTCTTGATTTTACATTTAATTTTGTGTTTTTAAAAACCATGTTGCAATATGGAACAAATGTTTTAATGATTTCTGCCTAATGAGCCTACCAAAAAGCAGGCAATGGAAAATATTCTGAAGTTTTTAAAGTATTCTGATATTTGCTTGTGATATTTGCAAATTTCTGTACATTTTATGTTATGGCTATATATAAAGCAAGACTTAGAAGATCCTTGAATGCTATTTTCTTTCTTATTATTTTTTGAGACAGAGTCTCACTCTATTGCCCAGCCTTGAGTTCAGTGGTGCAATCTCAGCTCACTTCAACCTCTGCCTTCCAGGTTCAAGCAATTCTCCTGCCTCAGCCTCCCGAGTTGCTGTGACCATGGGTGCGTCTAGTTTTTGTATTTTTTAGCAGAGACGGGGTTTCACCATGTTGTCCAGGCTGGTCTCAAACTCCTGGTCTCAAATGATTCACTCCCCTTGGCCGCCCAAAGTGCTGGGATTAAAAACTTGAACCAGCGTGCCCAGCCTTGAATGCTATTTTCTTATAATATCTGTCGATACTGAATTGTTTGTTTAGTAGGAAATATTTGACGAGAATGATGTAAATAATTTTTCATTGCTTATTCTCTTTCATATTCCCCTGTTGATAATATGGTTATTTTTGAATTAAAGTGATATTTGTTCTGTAAAGCAAATGTGGAAATACAAAAATAGAAGGAAAAATAAATATAAAAGTGTACCACCAACACAACAGAAATCCATCTTACCCCCTACTACAGAAAGAAATGCATATACATATATGATATCTTATAACTTCTCATTGTTTATTAACTAGAATTTTTTACACATCCTTTTCATGAATCAGTAAGTATTCTCTTCCAATCTGGTTTTAAAGGCTGTATAGAGCCTAGCCCAATGGATTATGAATAAATTATGTAAACTAATTATTTGCTGTAGGCATTAAGATTGCCTTCAATCTTCTAATATTAATATATGTATAGAGTGGTTCTTTATGCACATTTCTTTGTATAGATATATTATTACATAAAGTTGCATTCCATGCATTCTCCACTATGAAGAACAGTTTGGAGGTTCCTCACAAAACTAAAAATAGAGCTACCATATGATCCAGCAATACAACCATTGGTTGTATACCCAAAAGAAAGGAAATCAGTGTATAGAAGAGATACCTGCACTCCCATATTTCATGCATCACTGTTCACAATAACTAAGATTTGGAAGCAACCTAAGTGTCCATCAACAGATGAATGGATAAAGAAAGTGTGGTACAATACACAATGAAGTACTATTCAGTCATAAAAAAAGAGATCCAGTTATTTGCAACAACATGGATGTAATGTGAGATCATTATATAAAGTGAAATAAGCCAGGCACAGAAAGACAAACATCACACGTTCTCACATATTTGTGGGATCTAAAAATCAAAACAAGTGAACTCATGGACATAGACAGTAGAAGGATGGTTACCAGAGGCTGAGAAGAGTCATGGAGGGACAGAGCGTGAAGGGGGAGGTGTGGATGTTTAATGAGTTAAAAATAATAGAAAGAACAAACAAGTCCTACTATTTGATAGCACAATAGAGTGACCATAGTCAATAATAATTTAATTGTATATTTAAAAATAACTAAAAAGCATAACTGTATTGTTTGTATCAAAAAAGTAAGTGCTTGAGAGGATGGATACCCCATTCTCCATGATGTGATTATTTCACATTGCATACTTGCATCAAAACATCACATGTACCACATAGTACCCCATAGATATATACACAGAATATGTACCCACAAAAATTAAAAATAAAGGTATACTCTATAAGTGGAATTTTTTTCTTAAAGTCAAGCAACCTCATTATCTAGGGTGACACCCGAGGTTCTTTGTCTTATAGCCACAGAGACCAAGGCTGAATTATATCTCCCCAAAATTCACATATTAAAGTCCTAACCCTCAGTAGCTCAAAATGTGACTATGTTTAGGGATAAGCTCTTCAAAGTGCAGGTTAATTTGAAATGAAGCCATTAGGTTGGGCACAAATCGAATCTGACTGGTATCCTTAAAAAGGGAGGAAATTTGGACACACAGGGAGACATGAAGGTGCCTGCATCCAGATGAAAGGTCATGTTAGGACACAATGAGCAGGTGGTCATCTGCAAGCCAAACAGAGACCCCAGGAGACATCAAAACTGCCAACACCCTGCCCTCAGACCTCTAGCATCCAGAATTATAATAAAATAAATTCTGTTTTTTTAAGTCACCATGCTGTGGTATTTTGTTATAGCAGCCCTAGCAAATTAACTATTACATTTTTTTAATTCAACTTTCATTTTTTTCATTAGAATTAGGAGTACATGTACAGGTTTGTTACAAAGACATATTGCATGATGCTGAGGTTTTGAGTATGCTTGAACCCATCACCCAGGAAGAGAGGATAGTACCCAGTAGATAGTTTTTCAGTCCTTACCTCTTTTATTCTCCAGTGTCTGTTGTTCCCATTTTTACGTCCATGTGTACCAAAAGTTTAACAATGAGAACATGTGGTATTCGTTTCTCCGTTTCTGTTAGTTCACTTAGAATAATGGCCTCTAGCATTCATGTTGTGCGAAGGATATGATTTTGTTATTTTCTATATAAAATATTATATACATCTATATATATAATATTTTCCTCATCCATTCCACTGTTGATGGGCACCTGGGTTGGTCCTATGTCTTTGCTATTGTGAATAGTGCTGTGATGAACATATGCATGTGTCTTTTTGGTAGAATAATTTATTTTCCCTGGGGCATATACACAGCAATGGGGTTCCTGGATCCAATGGTACTTTTCTTGTAAGTTCTTTGAGAAATCTCCAAACCGCTCTCCACAGTGGCTGAGCTAATTTACATTCCCACCAACAGTGGATAAGTGTTCCCTTTTCTCTGTAGCCCCGCCAGCATCTGTTATTTTTGACTTTAAAAAAAAAAAAAAAGCCATTCTGACTAGTATAAGATGATATCCATTGTGGTTTTGAGTTCCATTTCTTTGATAATTAGTGATAATGAGAATTTTTTCATATGTTTCTTGGCCAGTTGTATGTCCTCTTTTGAGAAGTGTCTGTTCAAGTCTTTTGCCCTCTTTTTAATGGGATTTTTCATTTTTTGCTTGTTGATTTAAGTTCTGGATATTAGGCCTTTGTCAGATGCATAGTTTGTGAATATTTTCTCTGATTCTGTAGGCTTTCTCTTCACTTACTTTATAGTTTCTCTTACTGTGCAGAAGCTCTTTAGTTTAGCTAGGTCCCACTTGTCATTTTCTTGTTTTAGTTGAAATTGCTTTTGAGGACTTAGCCATAAATTATTTGCTAAGGCCAATGTCAAGAAGGGTATTTTCTAGGTTTTCTACTAGGATTTTTATAGTTTGAGGTCTGACATAAGTCTTTAATCCATTTAAGTTAATTTTTGTGTATGACCATAGGTAGGAGTCCAGTTTCATTCTTTTGCATATGGATAGCCAGTTATCCCAACATTATTTATTGTACAGAAAGTCCTTTCTCTATTGTTTATTTTTGTCGACTTTCTCAAAGATGTGCAGCTTTATTTCTGGGTTCTGTATTCTGCTCCATTGGTCTATATGTCTGCTCTTGTACCAGTACCATGCTGGTTTGGTTACTACAGCCTTGTAGTATAATTTGAAGTTAGTAATGTGATGCTTCCAGCTTTATTCTTTTGGCTTACAGTTGCTTAGGATGTTTGGGCTAGTTTTTGGTCCTATATAAATTTTAGAATAGTCTCTCTCTAACTCTGTGAAAAATACATTAGTTTGATAGTGATAACACTGAATATGTACATTTCTTTGGTCAGTATGGTCATTTTAATAATATTGATTCCAACACTCCATGAGCATGGAATGGTTTTCTCTTTGTTTGTGTCATCTATGATTTATTTCAGAAGAGTTTTGTATTTATCCTAGTTTTTTTTGTGGTTTTTTTTTTTTTTTTTTTTTGAGGTGGAGTCTCACTCTGTCGCCCAGGCTGGAGTGCAGTGGCGTGATCTCGGCTCACTGCACGCTCCTCCTCCCGGGTTCATGCCATTCTCCTGCCTCAGCCTCCCGAGTAGTTGGGACCACAGGTGCCCGCCACCATGCCCGGCTAATTTTTTGTATTTTTAGTAGAGATGGGGTTTCACCATGTTACACAGGATGGTCTCGATCTCCTGACCTTGTGATCTGCCCACCTCGGCCTCCCAAAGTGCTGGGATTACAGGCATAAGCCACTGCACCAAGCCTCTCCTTGTATTTTTGTTGCCATTGTAAATGGAATTGTATTTTTGATTTGGTGCTCAGCTTGAGAATTATTGGTGTATAGACATGCTGCTGGTATTTGTAAGTTGATTTTGTATCCTGAAACTTTACTGAAGCAATTTATCAGTTCAAGGAGCCTTTTGGTAATCTTTAGGGTTTTCTAAGTATAGAATCATCTTCAGCAAAGAGTGGTAGTTTGTCTTTTTTTTTTTTTTTTTTTTTCCTGTTTGGATGCCTTTTCTTTCTTTCTCTTGCCTGATTGCTCTAAGACTTCCAGTACTATACTCTATACGAGTGGTGACAGTGGGCATCCTTGTTTTATTCCAGTTCTCCAGAGGAATACTTTCAGCTTTTGCCCATTCAGTATGGTGTTGGTTGTGGGTTTGTCATAGATGACTCATTATTTTGAGGTATATTCCTTTATTGCCTAGTTTGTTGAGGGCTTTTTTTGTGAAGGGACGTTGGATTTTATTGTAAGATTTTTCTCTGTCTGTTGAGATGATCATTATGTTTTTTGCCTTTAATTCTATTTATGTAGTGAATCACATAAATTATTGATTTGTGTATGTTGAACCTTCCTTGGATCCCAGAAATAATGCCTACTTGATTGTGGTGAATTAACTTTTTGATGTGCTCCTGGATTTGGGTGGCTAGTGTTTTGTTGAGGATTTTCAAAAATCCATACAAAAGATCAATGAAACCAAAAATTGGTTCTTTGTAAGGATAAACAAAATTGATAGACTGCTAGCAAGACTAACAAAGAAAAGATCCTAATAAGCACGATAAAAAATGACAAAGATGACATTACAACCAATCTCAAAGAATTACAAATGATCCTCAGAGATGACTACAAATATCTCTATGCACACAAAGTGACAATCTAGAGGAAATGGATAAATTCCTGGAAATATAAAACATCCCAAGATTGAATCAGGAACAAATCAAAATCCTGAACAGATTAATAATGAATTCTGGAATGGCATCAGTAATAAAATTCTACCAAGCAAAAAAGCTCTGAAACAGATGGATCCATAGCCCAATTCTAACAGATGTACAAAGTAGAGCTGGAATCAATCCTACTGAAACTATTCTCAATATTGAGGAGGAGAGACTCCTCCTTAACTCCTTCTATGAAGCCAGCATAATCCTGATACCAAAACCTGGCAGAGACAGAACAAAAAAAGAAAACTACAGGTCAATATCTCTGTCAAATATGTGTGCAAAAATCCTATGATATATTTTCATTTGTATTTAATAATATAAATACATATATACAAATAATTTTGTTAGTTAATTGCTTATATTACTTATTTATGGATGCTCATTTTTCGTATACATTTTCTTAGTTATTTATATATCATAAAGTCAATAAATGCTGTTTGGCACATGTGTTGTATTATAATAAAATTAGAGGTTGTGTTGAAGTGTAGACATTTATATTATTAAACAAGATCATGGAAACATTTTCCTTCATGGTTTAGCATAGGTTTTATGACATACATACAACTTTTAAAATGTTGTCTTTTTAAATGGTTTCAAGGTTTTCTTTTCATCTTAAGAAATTATTCCATTCCACACTTTTTTGGCATTTATATTGAAATAAAGATATAAGAACTTTTTCAACTAAAGGATGATAAATTATTTCAAAAGCATTTTGGAAATACTTCATAATTTTCCCACTAATTAAAAATTATAAATGTATCCAATACTACATTTCACCTATACTCAGAACTGTTTCTCTCCTTTTATTGTGGTCTAAAATTTTTATATTTCTAAAATAAACAATACCTCATTACCCCATTGTTACAGTCTCTTAAAATTTCTCTTGGTTGTTCTATACCCTTTTTTCCCTTTCAAAAGGACAACAAAATTGTTTGAAGTCTTAAAATCTATTCCTTTGAATTTTTCATGAAAAACCACCTATTGAGATAATCACATCATTTTTATCGTTCATTCTGTTAATGTGGTGCAGCACATTTCTTGATTTGCATATGTTGAGCCATCCATGCATCCCAGGGATAAATACCACTTGATCATGAGGTATGATCCTGTTAATATCTGCAGTTTGGTTTTCAAGAATTCTGTTGAAGATTTTTGCAGCTATGTTCTGCAGCAATAGTGCCTGTAATTCTTTAGTGGGCTTGTCTGGTTTTGCATAATGCTGGCCTCATGAAATAAATTTGGAAGTGTTCCTTCCTTTTCAGTTATTTGGAAGACTATAAGAAGGATTAGCATTAATTCTTCCTTAAATGTTAGGCAGAATTCAGCAGTGAAGACATTAGGTCCTAGGGTTTTTTCTCCTTAATCCTTAGACTGCTCAGATTTTCTATTCGTGATTCAATTTTGGTAGGTTGTATGTTTCCAAAAATTTATCCATTTCTTCTAGGTTATCCAATTTGTTGGCATATAATTTTTTATCGTAGTCACTTATGTATGATCCTTTGTATTTCTTGGTATCAGTTTAATGTCCCCTCTTCCATTTACAATTTTCTTTTTTTTAATTATTATTATTATACTTTAAGTTCTAGGGTACATGTGCACAACGTGCAGGTTTTTTACATATGTATACATGTGCTATGTTGGTGTGCTGTTTGAGTCTTCTCTCTTTTTCTTAGTCTAGATAAAATTTGGTCAGTTTTATCTTTCCAAAAACAATTCTTAGTTTCGTTTATCTTTTTCATTGTTTTTCTAGTCTCTATTTCATTTAATTGTGATCCAATCTTTTTATTATTATTATTATTATTATTATACTTTAAGTTCTAGGGTACATGTGCACAACATGCAGGTTTGTTACATATGTATACATGTGCCACGTTGGTGTGCTGTTTGAGTCTTCTCTCCTTTTCTTAGTCTAGATAAAATTTGGTCAGTTTTATCTTTCCAAAAACAATTCTTAGTTTCATTTATCTTTTTCATTGTTTTTGCAGTCTCTATTTCATTTGCTTGTGATCCAGTCTTTTTATATTATTATTATACTTTAAGTTCTAGGGTACATGTGTACAACGTGCAGGTTTGTTACATATGTATACATGTGCCATGTTGGTGTGCTGCACCCATTAACTCGTCATTTACATTAGGTATATCTCCTCATGCTATCCCTCCCCCTTCCCCCACCCCACCACAGGCCCCGGTGTGTGATGTTCCCCATCCTGTGTCCAAGTGTTCTCATTGTTCAGTTCCCACCTATGAGTGAGAACATGTGGTGTTTGGTTTTCTGTCCTTGTGATAGTTTGCTCAGAATGATGGTTTCTAGCTTCATCCAAGTCCCTGCAAAGGACATGAACTCATCCTTTTTATGTCTGCACAGTATTCCATGGTGTTATATGGGCCACATTTTCTTAATCCAGTCTATTATTGATGGACATTTGAGTTGGTTCCAAGTCTTTGCTATTGTGAATAGTGCCACAATAAACATACGTGTGCATGTGTCTTTATAGCAGCATGATTTATAATCCTTTTGAGAGGTGACAGCGTGCTGGCTGTCCTCACAGCCCTCGCTCGCTCTCAGCCCCTCCTCTGCCTGGGCTCCTACTTTGGCCGCACTTGAGGAGCCCTTCAGCCCACCGCTGCACTGTGGGAGCCCCTTTCTGGGCTGGCCAAGGCCGGAGCCGGCTCCCTCAGCTTGCAGGGAGGTGTGGAGGGAGAGGCGCGGGCGGAACCGGGGCTGCTTGCGGTGCTTGCCGGCCAGCGTGAGTTCCGGGTGGGCGTGGGCTCGGCGGAACCCGCGCTTGGAGCGGCTGGCAGGCCCCACCGCCCTGGGCAGTGAGGGACTTAGCACCTGGGCCAGCAACTGCTATGCTCAATTTCTCACCGGGCCTTAGCTGCCTTCCCCCCGGGCAGGGCTCTGGACCTGCAGCCCGCCATGCCTGAGCCTCCCACCCCCTCCATGGGCTCCTGTGCAGCTGGAGCCTCCCAGATGAGCGCAGCCCCCTGCTCCATGGCGCCCAGTCCCATCGACCACCCAAGGGCTGAGGAGTGCGGGCGCACAGCGTGGGACTGGCAGGCAGCTCCACCTGCAGCCCTGGTATGGGATCCACTGGGTGAAGCCAGCTGGGCTCCTGAGTCTGGTGGGGAGGTGGAGAATCTTTATGTCTAGCTCAGAGATTGTAAATACACCAATCGGCACTCTGTATCTAGCTCAAGGTTTGTAAACACACCAATCAGCACCCTGTGTCTAGGTCAGGGTTTGTGAATGCACCAGTCGACAGTCTGTATCTAGCTACTCTGGTGGGGCCTTGGAGAACCTTTGTGTGGACACTCTGTATCTAGCTAATCTGGTGGGGACATGGAGAACCTTTGTGTCTAGCTCAGAGATTGTAAATGCACTAATCAGCACCCTGCCAAAACAGACCACTCAGCTCTACCAATCAGCAGGATGTGGGTGGGGCCAGATAAGAGAATAAAAGCAGGCTGCTGGCACCAGCAGTGGCAACCCACGCCAGCAGTGGCAACGCGCTCGAGTCCCCTTCCACACTGTGGAAGCTTTGTTCTTTCGCTCTTTGCAATAAATCTTGCTACTGCTCACTCTTTGGGTCCACACTGCTTTTATGAGCTATAACACTCACTGCGAAGGTCTGCAGCTTCATTCCTAAAGCCAGAGAGACCACAAGCCCACCGGGAGGAAAAAACAACTCCAGATGTGCCGCCTTAGGAGCTGTAACACTCACCTCGAAGGTCTGCAGCTTCACTCCTGAGCCAGCGAGACCACGAACCCACCAGAAGGAAGAAACTCCAAACACATCCGAACATCAGAAGGAACAAACTCCAGACGCGCCACCCTAAGAGCTGTAACACTCACCGTGAAGGTCTGCAGCTTCACTCCTGAGCCAGCGAGACCACGAACCCACCAGAAGGAAGAAACTCCAAACACATTCGAACATCAGAAGGAACAAACTCCAGACGCGCCACCTTAAGAGCTGTAACACTCACCGCGAGGATCCGTGGTTTCATTCTTGAAGTCAGTGAGACCAAGAACCCACCAATTCCGGACACAATTTGGGTATATACCCAGTAATGGGATGGCTGGGTCAAATGGTATTTCTATTTCTAGATCCTTGAGGAATCGCCACACTGTCTTCCACAATGGTTGAACTAGTTTACAGTCCTACGAACAGTGTAAACATGTTCCTATTTTTTATTTCCTTTCCTCTGCTGACTTTGTGCTTAGTTTATTTTTCTTTTTCAAGTTTCTTGAGTTGCAAAGTTTGTTTGGTTATTTAAGGTTTTTTTCTTAATGTGGGCATTATTTTCCAGTATAAACTTTCCTCTTAGTCCTGTTTTTATCTGTATCGCATAAGTTTTGGCATGTCGTGTTTCCATTTTCATCTGCCTCAAGATATTTTTTGAGTTTCTTCTTGATTTCTTTGATGCATTTGTTATTCAGGATTATACTGTTTAATTTACACAAAGTTGTGAATTTTTCAATTTTCTTCCTGTTATTGTTTTCTAGTTAATTCATGCTGTTGTCAATAAAAACAAGAATTGACATGATTTCAATCTTCTTAAATTTATTAAGACTTGTTTAGTGATCTAATATATAGTCTATCCTGGAGAATATTCTGTGTGCCCTTAAAAGAACATGTATGGGGCTGCTGATGGATGGAATGTTTTATATATGTCTGTTAGGTTCTTGTGGTGTGTAGTGTTGTACCAGTTAACTGTTTCTCTACTGATTGCTTTTGTCTGGATGATATCTCCCTTATAGAAGGTGGTTTATTGCAGACCCCTACTATTATTACACTGCTGTCTATTTCTTCCTTCAGTTCCGTTAGTATTTGCTTCATATATTCAGGTGCCTGCCCAGAGATTCTGGGCAGACTGTCTGGAAGAATCTGTAGGCAGACTTGCTGCTGAAGTCCTTGGGCAGTGTGGACTAGTGCCTGAGTACACAAGGATGGATGTGCACCCTGGATCTGCTAAAGCTGGGGGACGTGGGAACTACCTTGGAGGCCGGGGCTGGTGTGGCAATGGGATGGGCTTGGAACCTGGGTCTGTGAGAGCTAGCAGAAAGCCAGAGTCCAAGTGTCAGCATAGTTGGTGCTTTAGTGCTTCTGCAGACCTGGAAGTTTGGTCTGCAGGTTCTAGCCTGGAGTCTGGGGCTGTAGACATCAGCATGGTGGAGAAGTAGGCCTAAAGTCTGTGTTGACTGGAGCCTGTCTCTAACCTGAGGCCTCAGGGGACAGCTTGGCAGTTAATTAGACCTGGAAGCTGGGACTACAGGGCTAAGCCTTGTTACTATTTATTCTTACCATTTTAAATAAAATAAAGATTTTTAAATATATATGAATATTATTTACAGATAAATATTTTATAATCCTCATTTCTTCCTAAATATTAAATGGTTTTATATTCATTATATGGGTAACAAACAAATCAGGAATTTATCAATCCCCAAATAAATTGACTGTCTACCATAATAGATTAAATATTTTGACCATAAATTTGCCATTTTATTCAATAGTTAATTCTAAAAAAATTAGAAATGTATATTTTTCCCTGGTGATACATTTTTATCACTTATGTTTCTATGGGTTTGTCAGTAAAGCTTTATAATTTTTACCACTCTGAAAAGGACCTCTCTACTTGTTTAATAATCATACATGTTGACTGTGGTCTTATTGATCTTTGCATAACAGATCACTGTATGAAATCACATATCTCTACTTGATCATTACTATCACAGATTAATTTTAAACTCTGCATTTATACCTTGTAATTTCTTAATAAGCAAAATAGTTTGCTATTTCATATTTGTCTATTTTGTATAATTATTCCTTCATCAATGAGCCAGAGGTTTACAAATAAGTAGAAAGTAAACATATTTCATAACTATTCTATTATCATGCAGATTCAAAAGATGCCTACTGCCTCATTTTCCTCTAAGAATTCCTCATGGATATGTGGGAGGATTGTGTAGAAAACTAGCTAGCTTTTCCCTCTGGACATTTAGTTAGATGATTATATTCTTTGCCAGCATGATTCAGCTCCAAGGTTGAAGACTTCTGAGATCACAGGCATCTGCCAGGTAGTATCATTCATTCCCAAAGGATGTCTGGAAGAAGTTTCAGAACCAGACTGCAAGGAAATACTCCAATTCTCTGACTGCTCAGAGCTCTACATTGGCATTGTTTTCGTTATTCACAGATGGTGCAACTGAGATTTGGCAAAAAGAATCATTGTATTTTTCAAAAGAAAGTTTCTCTAGCTCTTAGACTATGACTCCATAAATAAATGAGGCTAATTCTAGTCTCTAAAAAAATTCAAGCTACCAAGTTGAAATAAAATAGCACTTTGCTGGAAGGGTGCTACTTCTTAAAAAATGACTGGCTATGTTGTCATCCTGTTTTTTCTCTTTGCAATTATTTATCCTTAGAATTTTCATGATCTTTCATGGGTACCAGTATTATTAACTACTAAGCAGCTGCAATCATTAATTGATTCAGAAAAAGCAATCTTAAAATATTAATGGTGATTGTGGGATTTTTCATCATCTTGTTTTGAAATTTAATCTGAATATTAAGGGAGATGAATCTGCAGTCTGACACTGATATTTTTGGTATTTATACATGTATTATTTATTAATATGATAAGGGCATATCCATATAATCCTTTGTAATATGGACTTTTACACTTAAGAATAGATTCTCAATTTTATCAGATTCTTTTTGGCACCAATTGTAATTTTTTTTCACTTGAAGTGTTTATATAACTTATACAATTTATAATTTCATATTATATTTATATTTTAACTATACGATAGGTGGTTCTAGGACAGCATCATATTACCTTCACATATATATCTTCAGAAATGTACTAATTTTTATAAAATATTTTAATTTTTGAGCTATTTTTTAAAAGTTTGTTTTCGGATAATTTTAATTACATAAAATATGTTCTGAAATATTTATGTTTTCTATGCCATTAAATGTTATAAATTATACTGTAATTATCTGCTTATGAAGCTTTGAACATATTTGCTTGCAAAGCCATCTGCCACTGAATCCTTTTTCATATTACTGTGTAGATCTTGGAAAACTTTTTAAATTTCTTCCAATGCAATTTTATTTTTGTTTTTGATTTTATATCCACCATGTCTTTCAGAAAGACTATTGATAAAATTAATGTTTTAGTCTTAATTCTAATTTTCCATTATATTAATTTAGCAGATTTTCCCCTAAAAGACATTTGCATTGATCTCTACCTCAGACAATTTTCTCAATTTTAATTGAAGCTATGTGTATTTGTGCTTTATCCTTCATTATTTTCATGCTTCAATAACTTAGCTAATGGCTAATTGTTTTATCACTTTTATATCATCTGCCACACTTCTCTCAAAAAAATGTTCTAGAATTTATTTAACAATTGTCATGTTTTTATTTTTAAATTTTATTTATTTGCTATTTTGGCAACTCTTTTGATTAAGGTATTTCTTCTTTCCTGTCTCAAGGTTTTTTGTTTCAGTTGTAGAGAATTGGTGTCATTTCTTCCTTAAATGTTTTGTAGAATTCACCAGTGAAATCATCTGGGCTTGATGCTTTCTTCTTTAGAAACTTGTTAATAATTGATTCAATTGTTAACAGATACAGGTCGATTAGGATAATTTACCTTTCCTTTTGTAAACTTTGTTAGATTTTTTTTTTCAAAGAATTGTCCTGTTTCATCTAGATTACCAAATTTGTGGACAAAGAGTTCTTCATAATATTTCTTTACTATCTTCTTAATGTCCATGGGATCAGTAGAAATATGATGTTTGTGTGTGTGTCTGACAGGAATAATTTTTGTCATCACTGGTATTTTTCTACATTAGCTTGGCTAGAGCTTTATCGCGTTCACTGATTTTTTTTTTAATGGACCACTTTTGATTTTCTTGACTTTCTCTATTGATTTCCTGATTTTATTTTATTGATTTCTGCTCTATTTTTTTATTATTTACTTTATTCTGCTTGTTTTAGGTTTAGGTTTAGGTGCTTTTCTTCCTCTAGTTTCTTTTCTTTTTTTTTTTTCAGATTTCTAAGTGATGTTTCTTTCTTTTTTTTTTTTTCTTAAAATTCTTTTATTATTATTATTATTATGCTTTAAGTTTTAGGGTACATGTGCACAATGTGCAGGTTTGTTACATATGTATACATGTGCCATGTTGGTGTGCTGCACCCATTAACTCATCATTTAGCATTAGGTATATCTCCTAATGCTATCCCTCCCCTCTCCCCCTACCCCACAACAGACCCTGGAGTGTGATGTTCCCCTTCCTGTGTCCATGTGTTCTCATTGTTCAATTCCCACCTATGAGTGAGACCATAAAAGCATAGATCAATGATTTTAGATCCTTCCACTTTTCTAATATATGCATTTGATGCTATAAATTTCCCTTTAAGCACTACTTTTGCTGCATCCTACAAATTTTGATGGTATATTTCCCTTTTCATTAGTTCAAAATATTTCGTTTTTCTTTATACTTACTCTTTGACCCATATGTTATCTAGTATTGTGCTGTTTAATGTACAATTACTTAGAGATTTCTTAGCTATTTTTCTTATTCATTTCTAGTTTAATTCTATTGGGGCCTAAGAGCATATTTTATGATATTTTTAAAATTTTGTTAAGTTGTATTTTATTGTACAGAATATGATCTATTTTTTCTGAATGTCCCATGTAAGCTTGAAGAGAATGTGCATTTTGGTGATGGATTAATTTTCTTCAAATGTCCATTAGAACCATTTGGTTGATGGTGTCATTCAATTCAGCTATATGCAAACTGACTTATTGCCTGCCAGATCTGTGAATCATGAATAGTAGGTGTTAAAGTCTTCAACTATAATCATGGGCTTTTCTTTTTCTCTTCCTAATTCTATCGGTTTTTGTCTCATGTACTTTAACTTTCTGATTTTTAGGTAGATACACATTTAGCATTTGTATATCCTCTTGGAGATTGGTATCTTTATTATCATGCAATGTACCTCTTTATCCCAGATAATTTCCCATGTTCTGAAGTCTGTTTTGTATGAAATTAATATAGCTATTTCAGTTTTCTTTTGATTAGTGTTAATATATTTTTCCCAACCATTTTCCTTAATCTATATCTTTATATTAAAACTGTATTTCTTGGCCAGGTGCAGTGGCTCACACCTGTAATCTCAGCACTTTGGGAGGCTGAGGTGGGCAGATCACTTGAGGTCAGGAGTTCAAGACCAGCCTGGCCAAAATGGGAAACCCTGTCTCTACTAAAAATACAAAAATTAGCCAGGCGTGGTGGTGCATGCCTGTAGTCCCAGCTACTTGGGAGGCTGAGGCAGGAGAATTGCTTGAGCCCAGGAGGTGGAGGTTGCAGTGAGCTGAGATTGTGCCACTGCACTCCAGCCTGGGTGACAAAGCAAGACTCCATTTGAAAAAAAGAAAAGAAAGGAATGGAAAAGAAAGGAAAAGAAAAGAAAGCAACTGTATTTCATGTAGACTCTGACAAACAGTTTTTAAACACCAATTGAAGTGCTTATTGACACATTTAAAGTACTTATTGATATAATTAAATTAAAATCTCTTGTGTTTTTTAGCTGTGTTCTGTTCATTGCACTTGTCCTTTGTTTCTTTTCCATCTTCGCCTTTTTGTCTGCCTTCTCTGATTTTAATTGCATGTTTTAGCTATAATATCTGCTATTATACCAGTCCTCTTAATGTGATGGTATGTGTCGGAAAAGGGGAAGCATTATGTAGTCCTTTGAAATTAAGTATTACCTTTGGGCCTCTAATTTGAGTTTTGAACTTTGACCAACTGATGAAATTGAATTCATCTTTGTAGCTATATTTTGTCTCTATGAATTTTATCCTCTTTATTGTTTCCTAAATCATTCAAATAATCTGATAGTTTTAATCAAAATGATAAAATATATATCTGCCCCACTCGAGGAGAAGGAAAAAGAGAAGGAAGAAACGAAGAAATTTTCATGCCCTCAAATATGAAATGTTAGAAATGGGCAACCTTAATTTTGGAAAACATAGTATCCTTCCTTGAACCTAAATTAGGAAAAGACAAAATCAGTTAAACAACTTAATAATCTTTTTTCTTCTTTTAGTTTCATTTCGATTCTGTGATGATTAATATTAAGTGTCAACTTGATTGGATTGAAGGATGCAAAGTATTGTTTCTGGGTGTATCTGGGTGTTTCTTGGTATTGCCAGAAGAGATTCAGATTTGAATCAGTGGACTGGGAGAGAAAGACCCATGCTCAGGAATGCCCACCCACATTCCTCAGGAAGACCCATCCACAATATGGATGGGCACCATCCAATCTGCTGCCAGTATGGCTGGAAAAAGCAAGCAGGAGAAGGTGGGAGAAGCTAACTTGCTGAGTATTTCAGCCTTTATCTTTCTCCTGTGATGGGTGCTTCCTGCCCATGAACATCAGACTGCAAGTTCTTTGGCCTTTGGACTCTTGGACTTATACCAGTGGTTTTCCAGGGGCTCTCAAGCCTTTGGTCACAGACTGAAGTCTGCACTGTTGGCTTCCCTACTTTTGAGGTTTTGGGACTTGGACTGAGTCACTACTGGCTTCCTTTCTCCTTAGCTTGCAGACGGCCTATCATGGGACTACACCTTGGGATCGTATGAGTCAATTCTCCTTCCTAAATTCCCTTTCATATATACATATATGCTGTTAGTTTTGTCCCTCTAGAGAACCATGACTAATACAGATTTCATTTCATTTACAGCTCATCTATGATTATTTGCTCTTGCCTCTATAAATAAGCCAGGATAATAAATTATTCTCTTGACGGAAAAATTTTTGTTTATAAAGTAATTCTTCATGATCATTCATAAATGGGTTCAAAATTTTTATCGTTTTAATTTTCTTTTCTCATATAAAGCCTTTGTTTTATCTTTATATTACTCTTCCTCATAGAAGAAATAGTATCTAATATTTGGCAAATTTTAAAGAGTTGTATAGGTATAGACTCAGTATATTTGAGGTATATGGAAAGCTGGAAACGATAACCTTTACTCAGACTAAAAAGCATTTCTTTACCATATTGGTATGAAACCCCTTTTTCCCAGGCATCAGATAAGCATCTCATCTACCTCCAAGATGAGATCAGTAGTTGACAAAGGCAAAAAATGAAGAGTGATAAAAAGTCATGAGAAAAATCTACAGTACCACTAACAGAATAGAAAGACAGGTTTTGAAATAGGTGTGTTGTCATCGAACTGTTACTTCAGAGCAGTACTCCTTCTTTCTCCTCATTCACAACAATGAACCAAGGAACGTTTGCTTTGATGAAAAGAAGGTATTTTAAACATGATAAATGAAACTGGCAGGGACTCTCTTTTTATCCAACAGAATTTAGGTCTTTGTTGACATAGTAGCCTTTGGACTTTGTATATGCTTTCAAGGTGTTACTGATCCTTGCTCATCAAGGCAGACTGGAGAGGATGTAGTATTTAAAGGCAGAAGTAGGTTCAAAAATAAAGTGTACTTCTGGTACTGCATCTCTTGAGAAAGTATGGATGATAGCTAACTAGAACCCTTGGAAAGTGGGGGGGGGGAACAACTTTATTTCAATGACTAGCTTCATTTTTCTGGATTATTATTCATAAAAGTTACTAATTAGTCTATTTTTTAATTTGTTGTTATTTTTGTTGTTGTTGTTGTTGTTTTGGAGATGGAGTCTCGCTCTGTCAGCCAGGCTGGAGTGCAGTGACACAAGCTAAGTTCATTGCAAACTCTATCTCCCAGGTTCAAGCAATTCTCCTGCCTCAGCCTCCCAAGTAGCTGAGACTACAGGCGCAGGCCATCACGCTCAGCTAATTTTTGTATTTTTGGTAGAGATAGGATTTCACCATGTTGGCCGGGCTAGTCTCAAACTCCTGACCTCAAGTGATCCGCCAGCCTCAGCCTCCCAAAGTGCTGGAATTATAGGCATGAGCCACCACACCTGGCCTATTTTTGAATGTGATATTTTCTTATAAGAAATATTTAAAGTGAAAACTTAAGTGAAATCCATAGAATAAAACTTAACCATAATGCACAGAACTTATTCTTAGTAATGTTCTTTTATTTTTTTATGTTCTAGGAGCCCATATGCTATAATCTTATGTTTTAACAGAAAGTGTTGTCTTTAGGAATGCTGCCCACTTGACGGCTTGTTTATATTTGAAAATCACATTAACTTTTTCTATAATTCTAAACTCAAGAGAATTAAAACCTTGCCTTAATGAAAGTAAATTTCCTAAATACTTTAAGAAAACAGAAAACTAGACATATATTTCAGAAATACAATCATTAAAAATGAAAGAAATATTTAGTTTAAAAAACAAACTTCATGTTAATATGTAAAATTTATTTTCAATCATTCATACTAATGTTTGCATACAATTACACACTAAGAATATCTGAAAATATATAAGGAATTGCAGATCACTACGAAAATATCTTATTTTTAAAAATCATGTCCTTTTTATATGGCTCTTATTTCCATTTTATTTTGAATACACATGCAATTGCATTTTTCTAATACATTCACATATATTATTTAGGATCCCTGAAAAACCAGAAGACATACTCAAAAACAATTTGAGGAGGATTTGATAAAAAGGCTGCCTACAAAGATGTGATCAATCAAAAACCACATTGTATAGTATTGTACCCAAAAGGCAGTAATAGCAGGATTTCATTAAGACACTGGGTCTTCAAGAGATGAGACTAAGGATATTATTTATTTGGCAAGTCAAGACCCATTATTATAGTGTAAATAACAAAAATGGCTATAAGGAGAGGGTCATCTGACAGCTGAAATCTGTCTCTGAAGGGATGCTGCCAGACTGAAGCAGACCTATGGGGAGGAACGGAGTGGGGACTGGGGTAATCAATGCCTTGAATTAACTCCTCTTCCTCCCTCCTATCTCATGCCAAGACTTCCTTTGGCCCAAAGCATCATGACCAATGGACAAGTAAACCCTCATGCAGTGTATAAATTTCAGCCTCTCAGGGTACAGAGCAGGGAGTGGGAACGTGAAAAGTGGACCTGCAGAGGCAAACAGGAGATATTCAGCATATATAGGTAGATTTGTGTCGTTTTATGTATTTCCATCTGGAATCTTCCAACTTTTTAACCAAAAAGACTAAATATTCTATAACTATGAAAAAGGAGAAGAAGAAAGTGTTATGGTTTTTACTCATAAATTATAGGTCAAGCATTGTGTTAAGCACTTTACAAATGAAATCAGTAACCTTATTCACATTTCACATAGGGAAATAAGGCAGAGACAATACATATCTTGCTTGGGTCCATAAAGCTAGTTAGCATATAAACTCAATTCCAATCTTTACTTAATTCTGAAGTACCTGCTTTTAAAACCTGCATGATAAACCTCTAGTCCTTGCAGCATCCCTGCTTCTTCCTTTTGTTTCAGCCAAATTTGATCACTGTTTTCTAGACCCTTCCTGACAGTTCCAATCTTTGGATCTTTGTGTGTGTGCGTATTTTTCATAATATTATATATTGTATATATATACATATTTTTTGCATGGAATGCTGTTCCTCTTTATATCCAAATATTTTAAAGTTCTATCATTTATTATAAACGTATCAACCAGAATTTCCCAAGACAAAGACAGTCTCTTCCTTCCTGGCCCCAAAATGTCTTTACTTTTATATATATTTCATGGCACAAATTTTGGTCACGTTATATAAGTTATTGTTTATACCTTCTTCTTAGTCCCAATGCAAAATGTGCTTCTGGAGTGCAAGCCCCAGACGTGGCCTTATGCGCAAGACTGAATCTGATGTGCTGGGTACCTGTTTTTGTATAATTGCAAGGGGAAGATAAAAATAGCTTGCTCTTCATGATCAATAACTATATTTCAGGCAATAGTAAAGAATGAATGCCATTGTTGTCCCAACTTTATAAGTGAGTAAATTGAGACTCAGAGTGTTAAACCTTCCCAAGTTCATATTGTTGGCACATGACAGGGCAGCATTACAACCCAGCTAACTGGTTTAGATACCAGGCTTAACCACTATGCTATACCGCATCTTAGAACAGAATACAAACAAGTCCAAGAAACAGAGAGTTCATGGGTGCAGCACACCAACGTGGCATATGTATACATATGTAACAAACCTGCATGTTGTGCACATGTACCCTAAAACTTAAAGTATAATAATAAAAAACAATTCCATTTACAATAACATAAATAATTAAAATACTTAGGAATAGGCAACCAAGGAGATGAAAGAGTTATATACTGAAAACTATAAAGCATTGATGAAAGAAAGAAGAAATACATAAATAAATTGGAAGATAAAAAAAAAAAGAAAATCCAGGCTACCTAATATCTATAGGAAGTTGCACCGTTTGATGTGGCAGTTTCAGAAACACTTCCCTATCATAAAAACTCAAGGGTCATTTCATGAGTGTGTGCTATGAAAGGTCTTTCAATGTCAGGGATTTGCTTGGTCCACTGCAACCAACTTTTTCTGTGATCACTTGCAACAAAAGGCAACAAGTGAGTAAGCCCTAAAGTAACCTAATTTGCACAGACAGTATTTCAACTTGGAGAGAAGTCATTTATGGTAAGAAAAAATTATGTTCTACCTTAAAAAAGTAAATATTTGCTCTTTCTAGAAGTTTGTTTCAGGGCGTAGTAGTAATTAAAATGTACCTCAGTTTCTCCTTCGCTGAGGTAGAGGGGGCTCTGATGGTTGTGAAATGAACTGATGATGACTCACCACAAGGGCTCACTCCTTCTTTCTTTTAGGAGATGGAGTCTCGCTCTGTCACCCAGGCTGGAGTGCAGTAGCTCTATCTCGGCTCACTGCAACCTCTGTCCGGGTTCAAGCAATTCTCCTGCCTCAGCCTCCCGAGTAGCTGGGATTGCAGGTACCCGCCACCGCGCCCTGCTAATTTTTGTACTTTTAGTAGAGACAGGGTTTCCCCATCTTGGCCAGGCTGGCCTCGAACTCCTGACCTCATGATTCACCCTCCTCGGCCTCCCAAAGTGCTGAGATTACAGGCATGAGCCACTATGCCAGCCCTTCTTTCTGTCCCTTCAGTCAACAATATTTATCAGTTGCTATATTCCCTGCACTGACCTGGGTGATGACAGGTTCAACATTTTAGAAACTAAATTTGCTATGAGTGGAATATAAGGTGTATGTGTGTCATAAAAGGAGATAAATTTGAACAGATAGGAAAGGGAAAGATGATCCCACTGGAGTGATGAGACTTTATTCTGTAGACAAGTGGGGGGGGGGATATTTTTATTATATTTTTAAGTTATAAGCGAATGTGAACAGATTTACATTTTAGGAATGTCACCCTGGCTGTGCTGAATGAAAGGGGTCCATAGCTGCAACCAGGATAATTTGCAAATTTATGAAATGATGCAAGTATGAGATAACAGTAATGTGCGAGCAGTGCTGGCCAAAAGAGCATGCTTGAATCCAGCATGATTGAAATGCTGGAGTGAGCTGGGTGAAATAATATAATATGAAACTGTACCACTTAGAAAAATGACCACTCAGGCAGCATTTATTCAATTACTCCACTAATTAGAATATTTTATCTTGCTACTTGTGTTATCAAAAATATCATCTCTGACTACTTAATGACACAGAGACACTGGATTATTTATTTTTTTATCTATAGGCTGAATATTAAGTCTAATGTTTTATTTGACATAATTTTGTGTACTCTGCTGAAACATAATCCCCGAACCCAAGGGCCATCCAAGCCCCAGTGAAAAACAATGTAATCCCTATGTGTTCTGTGCTCCCAAAACACCTTGTGAATATACTCTTACTATAGTTATCATACTGCACAATTATTTACTTTTCTTTTTTACCCTGCAGAAGACTGACTCTTCTAGGATTTTATCTTACTAACCTTTGACTAAGATTCAGTGGGGGCATATCATTATCTTAATCTGGATCTAAAAATCACAAAACCCTGGTTCGAATATTTGCTCCCTGATTAATTTTCCCATGTCTCAGTTCACTTCTAAATGAAAATAACAATGCGTCCCACTCTATTATGGATGAAGTAAATTAATGTATGAAGAACTAGGCAAACTGTCTAATTAGCTAATTAACTCATGTAATTAATTAGTAGGTTAGGATAATTACTATTAGCCTTTTTACCTAGAATATGAAGATATATAACAGATATATAAAGAATATTTTAATAGGTGAATAATATTAGCTAAAATATTCGTACTTACTGTATGCCAGACACACGTCTAGGCACTATACATGCATTGGCTCATTCAATCCTTACAGAAAAACCTAGATGTCACTACTATTATTTTGGTTTGTTTTTTCCGTGTGTGTGTGAGTGTGTGTGTGTGTGTGTGTGTCACTACAATTCCAGGGGCCTGAAATTACTCCTATTTTTATGCCAGTTTTACAGTGATAAAAGTGAAACTAAGTGATTTTATAATTTATCCAAGGTTTACATTACCTGTTAACTGGCAGAAGAAAGTTTAGAATAATGCTCTTTATTGTCTCTGCAGATGGATGCATGGAATGAATGATTCCCTTTTCCTTTTTCTCCCATAGCTCTTAAAAATCAAAATGTTTTATCCAAAAATGAAACAAAAACATCATTGATGTAACTAATGAACGAATGCAGTCAAGAAAGGTTCTGTTTTCCTCAGTGAAGTGTTCATTTGCCCAGCATTTTGCCTGATACATGGTAAGACTAATAAACTATTGAATGAATGAGTGCCTGTTTATAACTGATACAATGAATTCCTTTCTAATAGTTTTGAATGATCATTATAAATAATAACAGCAACAACAAAAGCAAACCATCTGTCAACAGGATGTGATTAAGTGTCATGAATTGAGACTAGCATGAAGGTTAGGAAGATGGTGAAAATGCAGTAACAGCAAGGTGGAAATATAAACATCTCCCCTGCCTCTTTGATTACTTACCTTATTTCCAGATATGCCACTTGGATCCAAGTACAGTAAAATGTTCATGTTCTTGAATGTTCATGGCAAGCACTCAGCATCACTAGCCTCCTTTGGAGGAAAAAATAGTGGAGATATTTATTAAGATTTTACACAGCTGTGACTTTTTAGCAATAGTAAGCAGATACATTATTGCTTAACACAAAAATCTCAATTTTTCTTACACATATTTGTATTTTCCATTAGTGGGAGCCAATTTGGGAAATTTTAAATTATTTTTGAGCCAAGAAAATAAGAGTGATGAAGTTTTATCTATTCTTCTCTCCTTTGTATGAATTCAATTGAGATTATTAACAGAATATATGTCTGAGCACACATTCAAACTGCGAGTGTTCCGCGACATTGTCAGGTCTACATTTCCAACTTGTTAGAAATCAGTATTCAGGACAGGAACATTCTAAACCTCTGTAAGAGACACAAATGGAAAATGTTTAATTTATGCCACTTAGACATAAAGGAGATCACATCAAGCACTGATTATACTGCTGTTTCCAGAATCCAGACAGACTGTTTTTTTCTTTTTTCTTTTTGCTGGTGTTTTCATTCAGAAAGGTTAAAACACTATTAATACTTTTTACTTTAGATTGAAGAACCAATATTTATCTTGGATCTGGGCAAACATCTCAATTTTTATTGTCAATGAATATTCATTGTCCAATTTCCTCAAAGCAAAATTGGAAGAAATTTTGTTTTCAATTTATTTTTGACAGTTTCCCTGCTTTGTGAACACAGTGGAAAAAGATGTCTTCCACTTATCCTTTGCTCCTATCATTCACTACACCAGACATACAAATAGTACGGTTCTAATTCATAATCAATCTCACCTGAATAGTTACTTGTTCTGAAAGATGCTCTGCAGTCAGAATTGTAAACACGAGTGATTTCTGAGTTGAAATAAAACTGACTAAACAACTCCAAGTGATCAAGCATTTTCAGATTAGTAAATATGAGAACTTGGCCTAATTTCAAAGCTGCTTCATCTTGGCTTATTATCAAAATGATGAATAAGTTAGTATCAAGGATATATAAAAGGCATAAGAGAGTGGACATAGCTACGCACTGGCTCTCTGTTTCCCCATAGAGATAGGCCACAATTTTGATGATTGTTGTAGCGCTTGCAATGTTGGCATCAATACATATTAAAGATACTTAGAAATGTGGGCTTGCTGCCTTTTACACCGTTAGGCTATGAGAGATTCTGTATCAGTCCTTAAGTCTAATCAATGCTCTAAAGTCTATATCTTGTGGCATCCAAGGAATATGTTTGTATTCTATTTCTTTCTGTACCTTTACACCTAGAGCAAACTTTTACCAGTGCTCTACAACTCACCCATTTAATATACTGTCTTACTATCTTCACCAACTTTAGATAAGACATTCCAAAATTAGGACACTCAGTGAATTTTTCTTAAGAAAAATTTTAAAAGGAAGGTGTGATTTCACAATGAGACGTGTAGGAAAGTGCAAGCGATGTGAAACAGAAGACAGCTCTGCTCCTTGCTAATTGTGTATTTTGGGAAAGCTGATTAGACTGACAGAGCATTGGGTTTGTCTACAAACCAATAGGAATAACTATAAAGCCTACTTCCATATTCTTCAGTACAGTGTTTTCAAGGTTTATCTGCCTAATAGCATGTATCTAGACTACATTCCATTTTATGAGTGAATAATGTCCCATTGTATATAACAGATTTTATTTACCCACTGGGTCATTTTGGAGATTCATATCGTTTGAATGATTTCCCCCTCGAAATCTCATGTTGAAATGTAATCCCCAGCTGGGCACAGTGGCTCATGCCTCTAATCCCAGCACTTTGAGATGCCAAGGTGGGGGGATCACGAGATCAGGAATTTGATACCAGCCTGGCCACATAATAAGACACCGTCTCTACTGAAAATACAAAAATTAGCCAGGCATGGTGGCAGGCACCTGTAATCTCAGCTACTTGGGAGGCTGAGGCAGGAGAGCTGCTTGAACCCAGGAAGCAGAGGCTGCAGTGAGCTGACATCATGCCACTGTACTGCAGCCTGGGCAACAGAGCAAGACTCCGTCTAAAAAAAAAAAAAAAAAGGAAAAGAAAAAGAAATCTAATCCTCAGTGTTGGAGGTGAGGCCTGGTGGGAAATGTTTGAGTCATAGAGGTGGTTCCCTCATGAATGAATGGCTTGGTGCCCTCCTCATGGTACTGAGTGAGTTCTTGCTCTGAGTTCACCAGAGGGCTGGTTGTTTAAAGGAGCCTGGCTACTCTGCATATCTCTCTTGCTCCTTCTTTCTCTATGTAATATGCCTAGTCCCACTTTGCCTTTTGCCATGAGTCAAAGTTCTCTGAGGTCTCACTAGAAGCTGAGTCGATGCCGGTGCCATGCTTGTGCTTCTTGCAGAACCATGAGCCAATTAAACCTCTTTACTTTATAAATTACCCAGCCTCAAGTGTTTTCTTTTAGAGAGAAAACAATGGACTAATGTCGTGACAATTGGTTACTTTTATGATAAACTATTATGAATAATTCTAATATGAACATTCATATACAAGTTTTGGTGTGAATATGTGGGGTTTTTTTGTCATTGATAATCTCCTTGGAGTTGAGTTTTATTCATTTTATTTTATTTTTTATTAATAATATTTTAAATTGACAATTTATAGCTGTTTACATTTATGGGGAATAATGTGATGTTTTGATAAACACATCTACAATGTGCTTATAAGTTTTTATTTCTCTTGGGTATTCATCTAGAAGTTGAATTGCTCCAGGTTTAGGCTTTTGAAGGAACTCCCAGACTATTTTTCAAAATATCTTCACTATTTCACACCCATGCCAGCAGTATGTGTAGGAAGTGTTCAGTTTCTCCACATCTTTACAAACACTTGATATCATCTTTCTGTTATAGTCATCATAGTGGGTAGGCAGTGATGTCTCATTCTTATTTTTACTTGCTTTTCACCACTAAATAATGATTTCTAGCATATTTTGATGTTCTTATTAATAATTTGTACTTCTTAGGAAAAGGCTCTATTAAGATCTTTTGTCCATGTTTTAGTTGGGGAATTTGTCTTTTTATTATTGAGTTGTAGAAGTTCTTTATATATTCTAGATACAAGTTCTTATCAGGCAGATAATTTATAAATATTTTATCTCAATCTGTGAAATGATTTTATATATCTTGATGGTATCCTTTAAAACACAAAGGTTTTTTGTTTTTTTAATTTTAATCTATCTTTTTTTTTGTCATTTCAAAATTTGTTGTCATAGCTGGGAGGGCTTTGCTTAACCCAGAATCTCAAAGATTTACTCCTTTATTTTCTTCTGAGAGTATTAAATTTTTATCCCTTTTTTGTTATATTTTATTTTATTATTTATTTATTTATTTATTTATTTATTTATTTATTTATTTATTTATATTTTTGAGACAGAGTCTGACTTAGTCGCCCAAGCTGGATTGCAGTGGCGCGATCTCGGCTCACTGCAGGCTCCGCCTTCCAGGTTCAAGCCATTCTCCTGCCTCAGCCTCCCAAGCAGCTGGGACCACAGGCGCCCGCCACTATGCCCAGCTAATTTTTTGTATTTTTAGTAGAGACGGGGTTTCACCATGTTAGCCAGGATGGTCTCGATCTCCTGACCTCGTGATCCGCCCGTCTCGGCCTCCCAAAGTGCTGGGATTACAGGCGTGAGCCACCGCACCCGGCCTTGTTATTTATTTTCTTAAATTGAAAGATAAAATTGTATTTCTTCACTGTAGACTACATATTGTTTTGAAGTATATATACATTGTGGAATGACTAAATCTAGCTAATTCATATATGCATTACCTCACATGGCTCTATTTTTTGTGGTGAGAACACTTTACATTCACTCTCTTAGCATTTCTTAAGAATAGTATATATTGGTAACTATAGTTTATGTGTTTCATTTGAAGTTTCTTTTTGTGTGTAGTGCAGAGAAGGAGTCCAAATTTATCCTTTTGTATATGGATATCCAGTTGTTCCACCACTATTTGTTTAAAAGATTATTTTTCTTTTGAATTGTCTTGACAACCTTGTTGAAAATCAATTGACTACATGCATATACAGCTTTATTTCTGGATTCAACTTTATTTCATTGATCTCTTATGTTAATAATGCCACCCTATCTTTTTGTTAACTTTTATTTTAAGTTCTGGGGTACATATGCAGGATGTGCAGGTCTGTCACATAGGTAAACATGTGTCATGGGGGTTTGTTGTACAGAGTATTTCATTATCCAGGAATTAAGTCTAGTACCCACCAGTTATTTTTCCTGATCCTCTCTCCCTGCCTCAACCCTCCACCCTGCTGTAGGACCCAGTATGCGTTCGTTGTTCCCTTCTATGTGTCCATCAGTTCTCATCATTTAGCTCCCCCTTATAAGTGAGAATGTATGGTATTCAGTTTTCTGTTCCTGTGTTAGTTTGCTAAGGATAATGGTCTCCAGTTCCGTCCACGTCCCTCAAAGGACATGATCTCATTCTTTTTTATGGCTGCATAACATTACATCGTGTACATGTACCAGATTTTCTTTATCCAGTTTATCATTGATAGGCATTTAGGTTGATTCCATGTTTTTGCTATTGTGAATAGTGCTGCAGTGAACATATGCGTACATGTGTCTTTATAATAGAATGATTTATATTCTTTGGGGTATATACCAAGTAATGGAATTGCTGGGTCAAATGGCATTTGTGTCTCTAGGTCTTTGAGGAATCACCGCACTATCTTCCACAATAGTTAGACTAATTCACTGTCCCACCAACAGATTAAAAGTGTTTCTTTTCCATAAACTTGCCAGCGTCAGTTATTTTTGACTTTTTAATAATAATCATGCTGACTGTTGTGAGATGGTATATCATTGTGGTTTTGATTTGCATTTCTCTAATAATCGGTGATGTTAAGCTTTTTAAAATGATTGTTGGCTGCATGTATGTATTCTTTTGAGAAGTATCTTTTCATGTCTTTTGCACACTTTTTAATGAGGTGGTTTGTTTTTTTCTTGTAACTTTTTAAGTTCCTTATAGATGCTGGATATTAGACTTTTATCCAGATGCATACTTTGCAAAATTTTCTCCCATTCTGTAGGTTGTCTGTTTACTCTATTGACGGTGATGGTTTCTTATTTTTTTTAATTTTTTTTTATTTAAATTGGTTTTTGGAAAACAGCTGGTGTTTGATTACATGAAAAAGTTTTGTTTTTTTTTTTCCTTGAGATAGACCCTCATTCCATAACCCAGGCTGGACTGCAGTGGTATGATCTTTGCTCACTGCAACCTCTGTGTCCCAAATTCAAGCGATTCTCCTGCCACAGCCTCCCGAGTAGGTGGGACTGCAGGCAGCAGCCACCATGCCCAGCAATTTTTTTGTATTTTTAGTAGAGACGGGGTTTTGCCATGTTGGCCAGGCTGGTTTTGAACTCCTGACTTCAAGTGGTCTACCCACCTCAGCCTCCCAAAGTGCTGGGCTGAGACACATGAGCCACTGCGCCTGGCCAGCTACATGAATAAGTTCTTTAGTGGTGATTTCTAAGATGTTTTTGCCCCCATCACCTGAGCAATGTACACTTTACCCAATGTGTAGTGTTTTGCCCTTTGCCAACCCACACCCTTTTCCTGGAGTCCCCAAAGTCCCAATGTATCATTCTTATGCCATTGCGTCCTCATAGCTCAGCTTCCACATGTGAGTGAGAACGTATGGTGTTTGGTTTTTCATTCCTGAGTTACTTCACTTAGAATAACAGTCTTCAGTTCCACCCAGGTTTCAGTGAATGCCATTATTTCATTTCTTTTTATGGTGCGTAGTATTCTATGGGGTGTGTGTGTGTGTGTATTTTTTCTATATCCACTCATTGATTGATGAGCATTTGGGATAGTTTCATATTTCTGCAATTGCAAATTGTGTTGCTATAAACATGCTTGTGCAGGTATCTTATATAATGACTTCTTTCTGTCTGGGTAGATACCTAGTAGTGGGACTGCTGGATCAAACGGTAGATCTACTTTTAGTTCTTTAGGGACTTCCCGCACTGCTTTCCATAGTGATTGTACTAGTTTACATTCCCATCAATGTGTAAAAGTGTTGCCTTTCAACATATCCCCACCAACATCTATTATTTTTTTGATTTTTTGATTATGGCCATTCTTGAAGGAATAAGGTGGTATCCCATTGTGGTTTTGTGGTTTTGATTTGCATTTCCCTGATAATAAGTGATGTTGAGTATTTTTCTAAATCTTTGTTGGACATTCATAGATTTTCTTTTGAGAATTATCTATTCATGTCCTTAGCCCAATTTTGATGAGATCATTTTTTTATTATTTTTTTTTGCTGATTTGCATGAGTTCTTTATAGATTCTGGATATTATTCCTATGTTGGATGTATAGATTGTGAAGATTTTCTTCCACTCTGTGGGTTGTCTGTTAACTCTGTTGATTAGTTCTTTTGCTGTGCAAAAGCTTTTTAGTTTAATTGAGTCTCATCTATTTATCTTTGTCTTTGTTGCATTTGCTTTTGGGTTCTTGGTCATGAAGTCTTTACCTAAACCAATGTCTAGAAGGGTTTTTCCGACATTATTTTCTAGAATTTGTATGGTTTCAGGTCTTAGATTTAAATCTTTGACCCATCTTGAGTTGATTTCTGTACAATGTGAAAGATGAGGATCCAATTTATTCTTCTACATGTGGCTTGCCGATTATCCCAGCATCATTTGTTGAATAGGGTGTCCTTTCCTCACTTTATGTTTTTGTTTGCTGTATCAAAAAATCAGCTGGCTGCAGGTATTTGGCTTTATTTCTGGGTTATCTGGTCTGTTCCATTGGTTTATGCACCTATTTTTATACCAGTATCATGCTGTATTGGTGACTATGGCCTTCTGTTGTAGTTGGAAGTCAGGGAATGTGATGCCTCCAGATTTATTATTTATTATTTTTGCTTAGTCTTGCTTCGTCTATGCAGGTTCTTTCTTGGTTCCATATGAATTTTAGGATTGTTTTTTCTAATTCTGTGAAAAAGAATTGTAGTATTTTGATGGGAATTGCATTGAATTTGTAGATTGTTTTTGGCAATATGGTCATTTTCACAATATTGGTTCTACCTATCCGTGAGTATGGGATGTGTTTCAATTTCTTTGTGTCATCTATGATTTCTTTTGGCAGTGTTAGGTAGTTTTTCTTGTTGAGGTCTTTCATGTTCTTGGTTAGGTATGTTCCTAAGTATTTTATTTATTCATTTTTTTTGCATGTATTGTGAAAGGGGTTGAGTTCTTGATTTCATTCTCATCTTGGTTGCTGTTGGTATATAGTTGAGCTACTGACTTGTGTGCACTAGTTTTGTATCCTGAAACTTTACTGAATTCATTTGCCAGTTCTAGGATCTTCTTGGATGAGGTTTTAGGGCTTTCTAGGTATACCATTATATCATCAGCAATGACAGTCTGAATTCTTTTTTACTGATTTGGATGCCCTTTATTTCTTTCTCTTGTATGATTGCTCTGGCTAGGACTTCCAGTACTATGTTGAATAGAAGTGGTGAAAGTGGGCGTCCTTGTCTTGTTCCAGTTCTCAGGGGAAATGCTTTCAGCTTTTCCTTATTCAGTATAATGTTGAGTGTGGGTTTGTCATAGATGGCTTTTATTACTTTGTCTTTTTTTATGTTGATTTTGCTCAGAGTTTTTATCATAAAGGGACGCCAGATTTTGTAAAATGCTTTTTCTTCGTGTATTGAGATGATCCTGTGAATTTTGTTTCTAATTCTCTTTATGTGGTGAATTTTACTTATTGATTTGTGGATGTTAAACCATCCCTGCATCCCTGGTATGAAACCTGGATTATCTTTTTGATATGCTGTTAGGTTTGATAAGCTGTTGGTGTTTTGTTGAGGATTTTTCTATCTATGTTCATCAGGGAAATTGGTCTGTAATTTTCTTTATTTTATTTATTAATTTTTGTTATGTCCTTTCCTGGTTTTGGCATTAGGGTGATACTGGCTTCATAGAATGATTTAAGGAGGATTCCATGTTTCTGTATCTTGTGGAATAGTGTCAATAGGATTGGTAACAATTCTTCTTTGAATGTCTGATAGAATACAGTTGTGAATCCATCTGGTCCCGGACTTAATTTGTTGGCTGTTTTTAAATTACCATTTCAATCTGGCTGCTTGTTATTGGTCTGTTCGGAGATTCTATCTTTTCCTGGTTTAATCTAGGAGGGTTGCATATTTTCATGAATTTATCCATCTCCTCTAGGTTTCCTCATTTATGTATGTAAAGGTGTTCATAGCAGCCTTGGATAATCGTTTGTATTTCTGTGGTATAGTTTGTAATATCTCCCATTTCATTTCTAACAGCGCTTATTTGGATCTTCTCTCTTCTTTTCTTAGTTAGTCTCTCTAATGGTCTATCAATTTTATTTATCTTTTCATATAACCAAATTTTCATTTCATTTATCTTTTGTATGTTTTTGGTTTCAGTTTCATTTAGTTCTGCTCTGATCTTCATTATTTATTTTCTTCTACTGGGTTTGGTTTGTCCTTGTTTCTGCAGTTCTGTGAGGTGTGTCCTTAGATTGTCTATTTGTGCTCTTTCAGACTTTTTTTGTTTGTTTGTTAGTTTTTTGTTTTGTTTTTTTTAGACGGAGTTTCACTTTTGTTCCCAGGCTGGGGTGCAACAATGCAATCTTGGTTCACTGCAGCCTCTGTCTCCCAGTTTCAAACAATTCTCCTGCCTCAGGCTCCCATGTAGCTGGGATTACCGGCGCCCACCACCATACCCGGCTAATTTTTTTTTTACTTTTAGTAGAGACGTGGTTTTGCCACGTTGGCCAGGCTACTCTCAAACTCCTGGCCTCAGGTGATGCACCCGCCTTGACCTCCCAAAGTGCTAGGATTACAGGCATGAGTTGCTTCTTCCAGTCTCAGACTTTTTAATGTAAGGATTTAATGGTATCAACTTTCCCATTAGCACTGCTTTTGCTGTATTTAAGAGGTTTTGATATGCTGTGTTACTATTACTGTTTAGTTCAAAGAATTTTTTAATTTTCATCTTGATTTCATTGTTAACCCAACAATCATTCAGAATCAGGTTATTTAATTTCCATATGTTTGCATGGTTTTGAGGGTTTCTTTTGCAGTTGATTTCCAATTTTATTCCACTCTCGTCTGAGAGAGTACTTGCTATACTTTTAATTTTCTTAGATTGACTGAGACTTGTTGTGTGACCTATCATATGATCTACCTCAGAGAATGTTCCATGTGCTCATGTATATTCTGCACTTGTTGGGTAGAATGTTCTGTAAATTTCTGTTAAGTCCATTTGTTGTAGGGTATAGTTTAAGTTCATTGTTTATTTGTTGATTTTCTGTCTTGATGACCTGTCTAGTGCTGTCAGTGGAGTATTCAAGTTCTCCACTATTATTGTGTTGCTGTCTATCTCATTTCTTAAGTCTAGTACTAATTGTTTTATAAATTTGGGAACTCCAGTGTTAGATACATATATATCTAGTATTGTGATAGTTTCCTGTTGGACTAGTCCTTTTATCTTTATATAATGCCTCTCTTTGTGTTTTTCAACTGTTGTTTAAAGTTTGTTTTGTCTGAAATAAGAATAGCTACTCCTGCTCACTTTTGCTGTCCATTTGCAAGGAATATTTTTTCCACACCTTTACCTTAAGTTTATGTGAGTCTTTATGTGTTAAGTGAGTCTCCTGAAAACAGCAGAAACTTGGCTGGTGACTTATTCATTCTGTCATTCTATATCTTTTAAGTGTAGTCTTGGTAGTGACAAATTCTGTCAGCATTTTTTTGTTTGTAAAAGACTGTACTTTTCCTTCATGTATGAAGCTTAGTTTCACTGGGTACAAAATTCTTAGCTATAATTGTTTTGTTTAAGGAGGCTAAAAATAGGACCCTAATCCCTTCTAGCTCGTAGGGTTTCTGCTAAGAAATCTGCTGTTAATATGATTGGTTTTGGTTTATAGGTTACCTGGTGCTTTTCTCTCGCAGCTCTTTAAGATTCTTTCCTTTG